>NC_000007.14:61063426-61327788 GCF_000001405.40 Homo sapiens | reverse complement strand
TTGAGCAGTTTGCATACTTTCTTTTTGTAGCATCTGTGTATGGATGCTTGGAGTGCTTTGAGGTCCATGGTGGAAAGGGAAATTTCTCAATATAAAAACTATACAGAAGCTTTCCAAGAAACTTCTTTGTGACGTGTGCATTCATCTCCCAGATTTGAACTTTTTTTTCTTTGAGCAGTTTGGAAACAGTCTTTTTGTAGAATCTGCAAAGGCATATTTGGAGTGCTTTGCAGCCTATGGTAAATAAGAAAAATCTTCACATAAAACTAGACAGATGCTTTCTGAGAAACTTCTTTGTGATGTGTGCACTTATCTCACAGAGTTGAAACTTTCTTTTGATTGAGCAGTTTGGAAACTGTCTTTTTATGGAATCTTCAAAGGGATAATTATGAGCCCTTTGAGGCCTATGGTGATAAAGGAAATATCTTCACATAAAAACTACAAAGAAGCTTTCTAAGAAACTTCTCTGTGTTGTATGCTTTCATCTCACAGAGTTGAAACTGTCTTTTGATTGATCAGTTTGCAAACAGTCCTTTTGTACAGTCTACAAAGGGATAGTGGGAAAACTTTGAGGCCCATGGTAAAAAAGCAAATATCTTCACATAAAAACTAGACAGAAGCTTCCTGAGAAACTACTTTGTGATATGTGCATTCATCTCACAGAGTTGAAACTTTCTTTTGATTGAGCAGTTTGGAAACAGTCCTTTTGTAGAATCTGCAGAGGTATATTTGTGAGTGATTTGAGGCCTATGGTGTAAAAGGAAATATCTTCACATAAAAACTAGACAAGCTTTTTAAGAAGCTTCTTTGTGATGTGTGCATTCATCTCACAGATTTGAAAATTTCTTTTCATTGAGCAGTTTTGCAACTGTCTTTATGTAGAATCTGTGAATAGATATATGGAGCTCTTTGATTCAAATGGTGAAAAAGGAAATATCTCAACATAAAGACCAGACAGAAGCTTTCTGAGAAGCTTCTTATGATGTGTGCATTCACGTCACAGAGTAGAACCCTTATTTTGATTGAGCAGTTTGGAACCAGTCTTTTGTAGAATCTGTCAAGGCATATTTTGTGTGCATTGAGGCCTATGGTGGAAAAGGAAATATCTTCACATAGAAACTAGATAGAAGCTTTCTGAGAAACTTCTTTGTGATGTGTGCATTCATCTCCCAGAGTTGAACTTTTCTTTTGTTTGAGCCGTTTGGAAACAGTGTTTTTGTAGAATATGCAAAGGGATGTTTGAAGCTCATTGAAGCAAATGTTGAAAAATGAAATATCTTCACATAAAAACTAGACAGAAGTTGTCTGAGAAATTTATTTGTGATGTGTGCATTCATCTCACAGTGTTGAACATTTATTTTGATTGAGCAGTTTGGAAAAAGTCTTTTTGCAGAATCTGCAAAGGGATATTTGTGAGCCACATGAGGTCTATGGTGAAATAGGAAATATCTTTAAATAAAAACTAGACAGAAGCATCCTGAGAAACTTCTTTGTGAAGTGTGCATTCATCAAACAGAGTTGAAGCTTTCTTTTGATTGAGCAGTTTGCAAACAGTCTTTTTGTAGAATCTGCAAAGGGATATTTCTGAGCACTTTGAGGCCTATGGTGAAAAAGGAAATATCTTCATATAGTAGCTAGACAGAAGTTTTTTGAGAAACTTATTTGTGATGTTTGCATTCATCTCACAGAGATGAAACTTTCTCTTTATTGAGCAGTTTGGAAACGGTCTTTTTGTACAATCTGCAAAGGGATATTTCTGAGCGGTTTGAGACCTTTGGTGAAAATGAAATATCTTCACATAAAAACTAGACAGAGGCATTCTGAGAAACGTCTTTGTGATGTGTGCATTTATCTCACAGTGTTGAACCTTCCTTTTGATTGAGCACTTTGCAAACAGTCTTTTTGTGGAATCTGCAAAGGGATATTTGTGAGCCCTTTGAGGTCTATGGCGAAACAGGAAATATCTTCACATGAAAACTAAACAGAAGGTTTCTGAGAAACTTCTCTGAGATGTGTGCTTTCATGTCACAGAGTTGAACCTTTCGTTTCATTGAGCAGTTTGGAAACAGTCTTTTTGTGGAATCTACGAATGGATATTCAAAGTGCTTTAAGGCCTATGGTGAAAAAGGAAATCTTCACTTAAAAACTAGACAGAACCTTTCTGGGAAACTTCTTTGTGATGTCTGCATTCATCTCAGAGAGTTGAATCTTTCTTTTGATTGAGCAGTTTGGAAACTGTTTTTGTAGAATCTGCAAAGGGATATTTGTGATCCCATTAAGGCCGATGGTGAAAAAGAAGTATCTTCACAAAAAAACCATACAGAAAGATTCTGATAAACTTCTTTGTGATGTGTGCATTCATCTCAAGAGTTGAACTTTTCTTTTGATTGAGCAGTTTGGGAACAGCCTTTTTGTTGAATCTGCGAATGGATATTGGAACGCTTTAAGGCTTATAGTGAAAAAGGAAATATCGTCACATAAAAACTAAACAGAAGATTTCTGAGAAACATCTTTGTGATGTCTGCATTCATCTCACAGAGTTGAAACTTTCTTTTGATTGAGCAGTTTGGAAACAGTCTTTTTGTGGAATCTGCAGAGGGATATATGTGAGCAGTTTTAGGCCTACGGTGAAGAAGGAAATATCTTCAAATAAAAACTAGAGAGAAGCATTCTGAGAAACTTCTTTGTGATGTGTGTACTCATCTCACAGATTGAAACTTTTTTTATTAAGCAGTTTGGAAACAGACTTTTTGTAGAATCTGTAATAGATACTTTTGAACAAATTGAGGCCTATGGTGTAATAGGAAATATCTTCACATAAAAACTAGACAGAAGCATTCTGAGAAACTTCTTTGTTATGTGTTCTTTCATCTCACAGAGTGAACCTTTCTTTTGATGGAGCAGTTTGGAAACAGTCTTTTTGTATAATCTGCAAAGGGATATTTGTGAGCCCATAGAGGTCTACGGTGAAATAGGAAATGCCTTCAAATAAAAACTAGACAGAAGCTTTCTGAGAAACTCCTCTTTTTTTTTTTTAGGAAAACTCTTATTAACTCTGTTCTTTATTTGAATCAGAGGTTCTCAGGGTACCTTTTTAATTTTTTATTTCATTATTATTATACTTTAAGATTTAGGGTACATGGGCACAACGTGCAGTTTTGTTACATATGTATACATGTGCCATGTTTTCGTGCTGCACCCATTAACTCGTAATTTAGCATTAGATATATCTCCTAATGCTATCCACCACCCTTCCCCCCAGCCCCAGCAGTCCCCGGTGTGTGATGTTCCCCTTCCTGTGTCCATGTGTTCTCATTGTTCAATTCCCACCTATGAGTGAGAACATGCGGTGTTTGGTTTTTAGTCCTTGCGATAGTTTGCTCAGAAAGATGGTTTCCAGTTTCATCCATGTCCCTACAAATGACATGAACTCATCACTTTTGATGGCTGTATAGTATTCCATGGTGTATATGTGTCACATTTTCTTAATCCAGTCTATCATTGTTGGACACTTAGGTTGGTTCGAAGTCTTTGCTATTGTGAATAGTGCTGCTATAAACATACATGTGCATGTGTCTTTATAGCAGCAAGATTTATAATCCTTTGGGTATATATCCTGTAATGGGATGGCTGGTTCAAATGGTATTTCTAGTTCTAGATTCCTGAGGAATCACCACACTGACTTCCACAATGGTTGAACTAGTTTACAGTCCCAGCAACAGTGTAAAACTGTTGCTATTTCTCCACATACTCTCCAGCACCTGTTGTTTCCGGACTTTTTAATGATCAGCATTCTAACTGGTGTGAGATGGTATCCCATAGTAGTTTTGATTTGCGTTTCGATGATGGCCAGGTATGATGAGCGTTTTTTCACGTGTTTTTTGGCTGCATAAATGTCTTCTTTTGAGAAGTGTCTGTTCATATTCTTTGCCCACTTTTTGATAGGGTTGTTTGTTTTTTCTTGTAAATTTGTTTGAGTTCATTGTAGATTCTAGATATTAGCCCTTTGTCAGATGAGTAGGCTGCAAAAATTTTCTCCCAATCTGTAGGTTGCCTGTTCACTCTGATGGTAGTTTCTTTTGCTGTGCAGAAGCTCTTTAGTTTAATTAGATCTCATTTGTTAATTTTGGCTTTTGTTGTCATTGCTTTTGTTGTTTTTCCTTGCCCATGCCTATGTTGCCTATGTCCTGAATGGTATTGCCTAGGTTTTCTTCTAGGGTTTTTATGGTTTTTGGTCTAACATTTAAGTGTTTAATTCATCTTGAATTAATTTTAGTATAAGGTGTAAGGAAAGGATCCAGTTTCAGCTTTCTACATACGGCTAGCCAGTTTTCCCAGAACCATTTATTTAATAGGGAATCCTGTCCCCATTGCTTGTTTTTGTCAGGTTTGTCAAAGATCAGATAGTTGTAGATACGTGGCACTATTTCTGAGGGCTCTGTTCTGTTCCATTGATCTATATCTCTGTTTTGCTGCAAGTACCATGCTGTTTTGGTTACTGTAGCCTTGCAGTATAGTTTGAAGTCAGGTAGCGTGATGCTTCCAGCTTTACTCATTTGGCTTAGGATTGACTTGGTGATGCAGCCTCTTTTTTGGTTCCATATGAAGTTTAAAGTAGTTTCTTCCAAGTCTGTGAAGAATGTCATTGGTAGTTTGATGGGGATGGCATTGAATCTGTAAATTACCTTGGGCAGTATGGCCATTTTCACGACATTGATTCTTCCTACCCATGAGCATGGAATGTTCTTCCATTTGTTTGTATCCTCTTTTATTTCATTGAGCAGAGGTTTGTTGTTCTCCTTGAAGAGGTGCTTCACATCCCTTGTAAGTTGGATTCCTAGGTATTTTATTGTTTTTGAAGCAATTGTGAATGGGAGTTCACTCAGAATTTGGCTTTCTGTTTGTCTGTTATTGATGTGTAAGAGTGCTTGTGATTTTTGTACATTTATTTTGTATCCTGAGGCTTTGCTGAATTTGCTTATCAGTTTGAGGAGATTTTGGGCTGAGATGATGGGGATTTCTCGATGTACAATCATGTCATCTGCAAACAGGGACAATTTGAATTCCTCTTTTCCTAATTGAATACCCTTTATTTCATTCTCCTGCCTGATTGCCCTTGTCAAAACTTCCAACACTACGTTGAATAGGAGTGGTGAGAGAGGGCATCCCTGTCTTGTGCCCGTTTTCAAAGGCAATGCTTCCAGTTTTTGCCCATTTAGTATGATATTGGCTGTGGGTTTGTCATAGATAGCTCTTATTATTTTGAGATACATCCCATCATACTTAATTTATTGAGAGTTTTTAGCATGAAGGGTTGTTGAAATTTGTCAAAGGCCTTTTCTGCATCTATTGAGATAATCATGTGGTTTTTGTCTTTGGTTCTGTTTATATGCTGGATTACGTTTATTGATTTGCATAGGTTGAACCAGCTTTGCATCCCAGGGATGAAGCCCACTTGATCATGGTGGACAAGCTTTTTGATGTGCTGTTGGTTTCGGTTTGCCAGTATTTTATTGAGGATTTTTGCATCAATGTTCATCAAGGATATTTGTCTAAAATTATCTTTTTTTGGTTGTGTCTCTGCCAGGCTTTGTTATCAGGATGATGCTGGCCTCATAAAATGAGTTAGGGAGGATTCCCTCTTTTTCTATTGATTGGAATAGTTTCAGAAGGAATGGTACCAACTCCTCTTTTTACCTCTGGTAGAGTTCGGCTGTGAATCCATCTGGTCCTGGACTTTTTTTGGTTGGTAAGCTATTAATTATTGCCTCAATTTCAGAGACTGCTATTGATCTATTCAGAGATTCAACTTCTTCCTAGTTGAGTCTTGGGAGGATGTATGTGTTGAGGAATTTATCAATGTCTTCTAGATTTTCTAATTTATTTATGTAGAGGTGTTTATAGTATTCTCTGATGGTAGCTTGTATTTCTGTGGGATCAGTTGTGATATCCCCTTTATCAATTTTTATTGTGTCTCTTTGATTCTTCTCTCTTTTCTTTTTTATTAGTCTTGTTAGTGGTTTATCAATTTTGTTGATCCTTTCAAAAAACAGCTCCTGGATTCATTAATTTTTTGAAGGGATTTTGTGTCCTATTACCTTCAGTTCTGCTCTGATCTTAGTTATTGCTTGCCTTCTGCTAGCTTTTGAATGTGTTTGCTCTTGCTTTTCTAGCTCAATCGATTGTGATGTTAGGTTGTCAATTTTTGATCTTTCCTGCTTTCTCTTGTGGGCATTTATTGCTATAAATTTCCCTGTACACACTGCTTTGAATGTGTCCCAGAGATTCTGGTATGTTGTGTCATTGTTCTCATTGATTTCAAAGAAAATCTCTATTTCTGCCTTCGTTTCATTATATACCCAGTGGTCATTCAGGAGCAGGTTGTTCAGGGAAACAGTCTGTTTTTAGAATCTGCAGAGGGATGTTTGTGAGCAGATTGAGGCCTATGGTGGAAAAGGAAATATCTTTACATAAAAACTAGACAAAAACGTTCTGAGAAACTTCTTTGTGATGTGGGAATTCATCTCACAGAGTTGAACTTTCTTTTCATAGAGAACTTTGGAAACAGTCTTTTTGTAGAATCTGCAGAGAGATAATTGTGAGTGGTTTGAGGCCTATCGTGAAAAAGGTAATATCTTCACATAAAAACTAGACAGAAGCATTCTGAGAATCTTCTTTGTCATGTGTGCATTCATCTCAGGGAGCTGAACCTTTCTTTTGATTGTGCACTTTGGAAAGAGTCTTTTTGCAAATCTGTGAGTGGTTTGATTCCTATCTGAAAAAGGAAATATCTTCACAGAAAACTACACAGAAGGATTCTCAGAAACTTCTTCGTGATGTGTGTATTCATCTCACAGAGCTGAACCTTTATTTTGAATGAGCAGTTTTGAAAGAGTCTTGTTGTACAATCTGCAAAGGGATATTTGTGAGTCCATTAAGGACTACAATGAAAAAGGAAATATCTTCACATGAAAACCAGACAGAAACTTTCTGAGAAACTTCTTGAAGATGTGTTCTTTCATCTCACAGAGTTGAATCTTTCTTTTGATTGAGCAGTTTGGAAACAGTCTTTTTGTAGAATCTGCATGTGGATATTTGGAGCGCTTTGAGGACTATGGTGAAAAATGAAATATCTTCACGTAAAAAGTAAATAGCAGCTTTCTGAGAAACCTCTTTGTGATGTATGCATTCATCTCACGGATTTGAACCTTACTTTTGATTGAGCGGATTGGAAACAGTATTTTTGTACAATTTGCAGAGGGATAATTCTGAGCAGTTTGAGGCCTATGGTGAAAAAGGAAATATCTTCACATAAAAACTAGACAGAAGCTTTTTGAGAAACTTCTTTGTGGTGTGTGCTTTCATCACATAGAGTCGAACCTTTCTTTTGATAGAGCGGATTGGAAACAATATTTTTGTACAATTTGCAGAGGGATAATTCTGAGCAGTTTGAGGCCTATGGTGAAAAAGGAAATATCTTCACATAAAAACTAGACAGAAGCTTTTTGAGAAACTTCTTTGTGGTGTGTGCTTTCATCACATAGAGTCGAACCTTTCTTTTGATAGAGCAGTTTGGAAACAATCTCTGTGTAGAATCTGCAAAGGGATATTAAAGAGCTTTGAGGTCTATGGTGAAAAATGAAATATCTTCAAATAAAAACTAGACAGAAGCTTTCTGGGAAACTTCTTTGTGATGTGTGCATTCATCTCATTGGGTTGAAACTTTGCTTTGATTGAGCACTTTGGAAACCGTCTTTTTGTGGATTCCTCAGGGAGATATTTGTGATTGGTTTGAGGCCTCTGGTGAAAAAGGAAATATCTTCACATAAAAAGTAGACAGAAGCTTTTTGAGAAACTTCTTTGGATGTGTGTATTCATCTCACTGAGTTGAAAATTTCTTTTCATTGAGCAGTTTGGAAACCATCTCTTAGTCGAATCTGCAGAGGGATATTTGTGAGAGGTTTGAGACCTATGGTGCAAAAGGAAATATCTTCACATAAAAACTAGACAGAAGTTTTTGAGGAACTGCTATGTGATGTGTGCATTTATCTCACAGAGTTGAGAGTTTCTTTTGGTTGAGCAGTTTGGGAAACAGTCTTTTTGTGTAATATGCAAAGGGATATTTGTGAGTGGTTTGAGGCTATGGTAAAAAAGAAACATCTTCACATAAAAGTTAGACAGAAGATTTCTGAGACACTTCTTTGTGATGTGTGCTTTCACCTCATAGAGTTGAAGCTTTCTTTTGATTGAGCTTATTGGAAACAGCCTTTTTGTAGCATTTGCAAATGGATATTTGGAGAGCTTTGAGTCCTTTGTAACAAAGGAAATATTTCAAACAAAGACTAGACAGAAGCATTCTGAGAAACTTCTTTGTGATTTGTGCATTAATCTCACAGAGTTCAAACTTCTTTTTGATTGAGAAGTTTATAAACTGTCTTTTCATAGAATATGCAGAGGGATATTTGTGAGCGGTTTGAGTCCTATGTGAAAAAGGAAATGTCTTCACATAAAAACTACACAGAAATATTCTGAGAAACTGCTTTGTGATTTGTACATTCATCTCACATTGCTGAACGTTTCTTTTGATTGAGCAGTTTGGAAAGAGTCTTTTTGTAGAATCTGAAAAGAGACATTTGTAACTCTTTGAGGCATATGGTGATATAGGAAAAATATTCACATAAAAACTAGACAGAAGCTTTCTGAGAAACTTCTTTGTGATTTGTGCTTTCATCTCACAGAGCTGAACCTTTCTTTCGATTGAGCAGTTTGGAAACAGACTTTTGTACAATTTGCAAGTGGATATTTGGAGTGCTTTGTGGTCAACGGTGAAAAAGGAAATATCTTCACATAAAAACAAGACAGAAGCATTCTGAGAATCTTCTTTGCCATGTGTGCATTCATCTCACAGATTTGAAACTTCGTTTTAATTGAGCAGTTTGGAAACAGTCTTTTTGTAGAATCTGAAAAGGGATATTTGTGAGCCCTTTGAGGCCTATGGTGAAAAAGGAAATATCTTCACATAAAAACTAAACAGAAGCTTTCTGAGAAACTTCTAGTGATGTATGCCTTCATCTCACAGAGTTGAACCGTTCTTTTGATTGAACAGTTTGGAAACAGTCTTTTCATAGAAACTGCAAATGGATATTTACAGCACTTTGAGGCCTGTGGTGAAAAAGGAAATATCTTCACATAAAAACTAGACAGACACTTTCTGAGAAAGTTCTTTTTGATTTGTGCATTCATCTAACAAAGTTGAAACTTTCTTCTGATTGAGCAGTTTGAAAAACAGTCTTTTTGTAGATTCCTCAGAGGGATATTTGTTAGCGTTTTGAGGCTTATGGTGAAAAAGAAATATCTTCACGTAAAAACTAGGCAGAAGCATTCTGAGAAACTTCTTTTGATGCTTGCATTCATCTCACACATTTGAATCTTTCTATTCATTGTGCAGTCTGGAAGCAGTCTTTTGTAGAATCTGCAAAGGGATATTTGTGAGCCCTTTGAGGCCTATGGTGAAATAGGAAATATCTTCACATAAAAACTAGACAGACACATTCTGAGAAACTTCTTTTTGTTGTGTGTTTCATCTCACAGAGTTGAGCTTTTCTTTTGATTGAGCAGTTTGGAGACAGTCATTTTGTAGACTCTGCAAATGGATATTTGGAGCGCTTTGAAGCCTATGGTGAAATCAGGTAATATGTTCACATAAAAATTAGACAGAATCTTTCTGAGAAATTTCTTTGTGATGTGTGCTTTCATCTCACAGATGTGAACCTTTCTTTTGATTGAGTAGTGTGGAAACAGTCTTTTTGTAGAATCTTCAAATGGATACTGGAGCGCTTTGAGGCCTAAGGTGAAAAAAGGAAATATCTTCACATAAACACTAGATAGAATCTTTTTGAGAAACTTATTTGTGATATGTGCATTCATCTCACAAGGTTGAACCTTTCTTTTAATGTAGCACTTTGGAAACAGTCTTTTTATACAATGTGCAAGGGGAAATTTCTGAGTGGTTTGAGGCCTATGGTGAAAAAGAAATATCTTCACATAAACACTAGACACAAAATTTCTGGGAAACTTCTTTGTGATGTGTGCATTCATCTCACAGAGTTGAACTTTTCTTTTGATTGAGCATTTTGGAAACAGTCTTTTTGAAGTATTTGCAGAAGGATGTGTTTGAGGCGTTTGAGGCATATGGTGAAAAAGGAAATATCTTCACATAAAAACTAAGCAGAAGCATTCTTAGAAACTTCTTTGTGATGTGTGTATTTATCTCAAAGTGTTGAACCTTTCTTTTGATTGAGCAGTTTGTAAACAGTCTTTTTGTAGAATCTGCGAAGGGATATTTGTGAGCCCATTGAGGTCTATGGTGAAATAGGAAGTATCTTCACATAAAAACTAGACAGAAGCTTTCTGAGAAACTTCTTTGTGAGGTGCACTTTCATCTCACAGTTTTGATGCTTTCTATTGATTGAGCAGTTTGGAAACAGCCTTTTTGTGGAATCTGTAAATGGATATTTTGAGCGCTTTGAGGACTGTGGTGAAAAATGAAATATCTTCACATAAAAACTAGACATAATGTTTTTGAGAGACTTCTTTGTGATGTGTGCATTCATCTCATGGATTTGAAACTTTCTTTTGATTGAGCAGATTGGAAACAGTCTTTATGTAGAATCTGCAATGGGATATTTGTTAGCGCATTAAGGCCTATCATGAAAAAGGAAATATCTTCACATAAGAACTAGACAGAATCTTTCTGAGAAACTTGTTTTTGATGTGTACTTTCATGTCACAGAGTTGAACATTTCTTTTGATTGATCAGTTTGGAAACAGTCTTTTTGTGCAATTTGCAGAGGGATATTTGTGAGTGGCTTGAGGCCTATGGTGAAAATGGAAATATCTTTACATAAAAACTAGACGGAAGCATTCTGAGAAATTGCTTTGTAATGTGTGCTTTCATCTCACAGGGTTGAACCTTTCTTTTAATTGAGCAGTTTGGAAACCATCTTTTTATAGAATGTGCAAATGGATATTTGAAGTGCTTTGAGGCCTATGTTGAAAAAGGAAATATCTTCACATAGAAACTAGACAGAGGGTTTCTGAGAAACTACTTTGTGATGTGTGCATTCATTGCACAGAGTTGAAACTTCTTTTGCTTGAGCAGTTTGTAAAGAGTCTTTTTGTAGATTCTGCAGAGAGATATTTGTGAGCAGTTTGACCTTATGATGAAAACGGAAATGTCTTCACTGGAAAACTAGAGAGAAGCGTTTTGAGAAACTTCTTTGTGTTGTGTGCATTCATCTCACAGAGGTGAACCTTTCTTTTGATTGCGCAGTTTGGAAACAGTCTTTTTGTACTATCTACAGAGGGTTAATTTTCAGCAGTTGGAGGCCTATGGTGAAAAAGGAAATATATTCACATGAAAACTAGACAGAATCTTTCTGAGAAACTTCCTTGTGATGTGTGCATTCACCTCAAAGACTTGAAGCTTTCTTTTGATTGAGCAGTTTGGAAAAAATCTGTTTGCACAATCAGCAAAGGGTTATTTCTGAGCTTTTTGAGGTCTATGGTGAAAAAGAAGTGTCTTCACATAAATATTATGCAGAAGCATTCTGAGAAACTTCTTTGTGATGTGTGCATTCCTCTCAGTGAGTTGAAACTTTCTTTTGATGGAGTAGTTTGGAACCAGTCTTTTTGTACAATCTGTAAAGAGATATTTGTGAGCCCATTGAGGCCTATGTTGAAATAGGAAATATCTTCACTTAAAAACCAGACAGAAGCTTTCTGACAAACTTCTTTGTGATGTGTGCTTCATCTCACAGTGTTGGAACTTTGTTTTGATTAAGCAGTTTCAAAACAGCCTTTTGTAGAATTCGCCCAGGGATATTTGGAGCACTTTGTGACATATGGTGAAAAGGAAATATCTTAACATAAAAATCAGACAGAAGAATTGTGAGCAACTTCTTTGTGATGTGTGCTTTCATCTCTCAGACTTGAACCATTCTTTTTATTGAGGAGTTTGGAAACCGTCTTTTTGTAGAATCTGCAAATGGATATTTTAGCACTTTGAGGCCAGGCCTATGGTGAAAAAACGAAATATATTCACATAAAAAGTAAACAGAAGCTTTCTAAGAAACTTCTACGTGATCTGCGCATTCATCTTATGAAGTTGAACCTATCTTTTGAGTAAGCAGTTTGGAAAGAGTCTTTTTTGTAGAATCTGTACAGGGATATTTGTGAGCCTTTTATGGCCTATGGTGAAATAGGAAGTATCTTCACCTAAAAACTAGACAGAAGCTTTCTGAGAAACTTTTGTGCAATGTATGGTTTCATCACACAGAATTGAACCTTTCTTTTGATTGAGCAGTTTGGAAACAGTCTTTTTGTAGAACATGAAAATGGATATTTGCAGCTCTTTGAGGCCAATGCTGAAAAAGGAAATATCTTCACATAAAAACTACACAGAAGTATTCTGAGAAACTTCTTCATGATGTGTGTATTCATCTCACAGAGTTTAACCTTTCATTTAATTAAGCAGTTTGGGAAGAGTCTTTTTTTAGAATCTGCAAATGGATATTTGGAGCTATTTGGGGCCTATGGTGAAAAAGGAAATATCTTCATATAAAACTAGACAGAAGCATTCTGAGAAAATACTTTGTGATGCCTGCATTCATCTCATGGAATTAAACCTTTCTTTTGATTGAGCAGTTTGGAAACTGTGTTTTTGTACAATCTGTGAAGGGATATTTCTGAGCTGTTCGAGGCCTATGGTGAAAAAGAAATATCTTCACATAAAACCTAGGCAGAAACATGCTGAGAAACTTTTTGTGATGTGTGCACTCTTCTCACAGAGTTGAACATTTCTTTTGATTGAGCAGTTTGGAAGCAGTCTTTTCACAAAATCTGCACATTGATATTTGTGAGCCCTTTATGGCCTATGGTGAAATATTTTCACATCAAAACTATGTTCATATATCTTCACATAAAATATCTTCACATAAAAGCTAGACAGAAGGATTCTGAGAAACTTCTTTGTCATGTGTGCATTCATCTCACAGAGTTGAACCTTTCTTATGATGCAGCAGTGGGTAAACATTCTTTTTGTAGTATCTGCAGAGGGATATTTGTGACTGTTATAAGGCCTATATTGAAAAAGGAAATATCTTCACATAAAAACTAGACAGAAGCATTCTGAGAATCTCCTTTGTGATGTATGCATTCACCTCACAAAGTTGAACCTCTCTTTTGATCTAGCAGTTTTGAAACAGTCTTTTTGTAGAATCTGCACAGGGATATTTGTGAGCCTTATATGGCCTATGGTGAAATAGGAAATATCTTCACATAAAAACTAGACAGAAGCTTTCTGGGAAACTTCTTTGTTATGTATGCTTTCATCTCACAAAGTTGAATCTTTCTTTTGATTGAGCACTTTGGAAACAGTCTTTTTGTAGTATCTGTAGATGGATATTTGTGACCAGTTTAAGGCCTATGGTGAAAAAGGAGATATCTTCACATAAAAACAAGACAGAAGCATTCTGAGAAACTTTTTTATGATGCCTGAATTCATCTCAGAGAGTTGAACCTTTCTTTTGATTGAGCAGTTTGGAAACAGTCTTTTTTACAAGCTGCAAAGGTATGTGTCTGAGCCGTTTGAGGCCAATGTTGAAAAAGAAATATCCTCACAAAAAACTAGACAGAAGCATTCTGAGAAACTTCTTTGTGATGTGTGCATTCATCTCACAGAGTTGAACCTTTCCTTTGATTGCATGGTTTGATAAACAGTCTTTTCATAGATCTGCACAGGGATATTTGTGAGCCCTTTATGGCCTATGGTGTAATTGGAAATATCTTCACATAAAAACTTGACAGAACATTTCTGAGAAACTTCTTTGTGATGTATGCTTTCATCTAACAGAGTTGAACGTTTCTTTTCATTGAGCAGTTTGGAAGCAGTCTTTTTGTAGAATATGCAAATGGATATTTAGAGCGATTTGAGGCCTATGGTGAACATGGAAATATCTTCACATAAAAACTAGACAGAAGCATTCTGAGAAACTTCTTTGTGATGTGTGCATCCATCTCTGAGAGTTGTACCTTTCTATTGATGGAGCACTTTTGAAACAGTCTTTTTGTAATATGTGCAGTGGGATATTTGTGACAGATTTAAGGCCTAGGGTGAAAAAGGAAATATCTTCACATAAAAACTAGACAGAAGCATTCTCAGGCACTTCTTTGTGATGTCTGCATTCATCTCACAGAGTTGAACATTTCTTTTGATGCAGCAGTTTGGAAACAGTCTTTTTTAGTATGTGCAGAGGCATATTTCTGACCAGTTTAAGGCCTATGGTAAAAAGGAAATATATTCACATAAAAACTAGACAGAAGCATTCTGAGAAACTTCTTTGTGGTGTGGGCATTCATCTCACATTGTTGAACCCTTCTTTTGATTGCGCCGTTTGGAAACACTCTTTTTGCAGAATTTGCAAATGGATATTTGGAGTGCTTTGAGGACTATGGTGAAAAAGGAAATATCTTCACATAAAAACGAGGCAGAAGCATTCTGAGAAACTTCTTTTTGATGCGTTCATTCATCTCACAGAGTTGAAACTTCCTTTTGATGCAGCAGTTTGGAAACAGTCTTTTGTAGTATCTGCAGAGGCATATTTGTGACCGGTTTAAGGCCTATGGTAAGAAGGAAGTATGTTCACATCAAAACTAGACAGAAGCATTCTGAGAAACTTCTTTCTGTTGTGTGCATTCATCTCACAAAGTTGAACCTTTCTTTTGATTGAGGAGGTTGGAAGCACTGTTTTTGCAGAATCTGCAAATGGATATTTGTAGCAATTTGAAGCCAATGGTGAAATAGGAAATATATTCACATAAAACTTGAGAGAAGCATTCTGAGAAACTTCTTTGTGATGTGTGCATTTATCTCCCAGAGTTGAACTTTTCTTTTGGTGGGGCAGTTTGGAAAGAGTCTTTTTGTGGTACTTGCAGAGGGATATTTGTGACAGGTTTGAGGCCTGGGGTGGAAAAGGAAATATCTTAACATAGAAATTACACAGAAGCATTCTGGGAAACTTCTTTGGATGTGTGCATTCATCACACAGAGTTGAAGTGTTCTTTTGATTGAGCAGGTTGGAAACACTCCTTTTGTAGAATCTGCAAAGAGATATTTGGAGAGCTTTGAGACATATGTTGGAAAAGGAATTATCTTCACATAAAAACTAGACAGAAGCATTCTGAGAAACTTCTTTGTGATGTGTGCATTCATCTCACAGAGTTGAACCTTTCTTTTGATGGAGCAGTTTGGCAACAGTCTTTTTGTCATATCCACACAGGGACATTTGTGACTTGTTTCAGGTCTATGGTGAAAAGGAAATAACTTCACATAAAAAGGATACAGAAGCATTCTGAGAAAATTATTTGTGATGTGTGCATTTATCTAAGAGTTGAACGTTTCTTTTGATGTAGAAGTTTGGAAACAGTCCTTTTGTAAAATCTACAAATGGATATTTGGAGTGCTTTGAGGACTATGGTGAAAAAGGAAATATCTTCACATACAAACTAAATGGAAGCATTCTGGGAAATTTCTTTAGGATGAGTGATTTCATCTCACAGGGGTGAAACTTTCTTTTGTTTGAGCAGTTTGGAAATTCTCTTTTCGTAGTATCTGCAAATGCATATTATCTTCACATCATAACTAGACAAAAACGTTCTGAAAAAATTCTTTGTGATGTGTGCATTCATCTCAAAGAGTTCACACTTTCTTTTGATTGAGTATTTCTGAAACACTCTTTTTGTTGAATCTGCAAGTGGATATTTGGAGCGCTTTGAGGCCTATGGTGAAAAAGGAAATATCTTCACATAAAAACTAGACACAAGCATTCTGAGAACCTTTTTTTTGTGATGCCTGCATTTATTTCACAGAGTTGAAGCTTTCTTTCAGTTAGCAGTTTGGAAACTGTCTTTCTGAAGAATCTGCAAATGGATATTTGAAAAGCTTTGGGCCTGTGGTGAAAAAGGAAATATACTAACATAAAAACTATACAGAAGCATTCTAAGAAACTTCGTTGTGATGCTTGCATTCATCTCACACAGTTGAACCTTTCTTTTGATTGAGCCATTTTGACAGAGTCTTTTTGTACAATCTGCGAAGGGCTATTTCCAAGGTGTTTGAGGCCTATGGTGAAAAAGAAATATCCTCACATATAAACTAGACAGAAGACTTCTAAGAAACTTATTTGTGATGTGTGCATTCATCTCAGAGTTGGAACTTTCTTTTGATTGAGCACTTTGGAAACAGTCTTTTCGTAGAAACTGCAGTGGGATATTTGTGAGCCTTTTATGGCCTATGGTGAAATAGGAAATATCTTCACATAAAAACTAGACAGAATTGACCACATAGTTGGAAGTAAAGCTCTCCTCAGCAAATGTAAAAGAACAGAAATTATAACAAACTATCTCTCAGACCACAGTGCAATCAAATTAGAACTCAGGATTAAGAATCTCACTCAAAGCCGCTCAACTACATGGAAACTGAACAACCTGCTCCTGAATGACTACTGGGTACATAACAAAATGAAGGCAGAAATAAAGATGTTCTTTGAAACCAACGAGAACAAAGACACCACATACCAGAATCTCTGGGACGCATTCAAAGCAGTGTGTAGAGGGAAATTTATAGCACTAAATGCCCACAAGAGAAAGCAGGAAAGATCGAAAATTGACACCCTAACATCACAATTAAAAGAACTAGAAAAGCAAGAGCAAACACATTCAAAAGCTAGCAGAAGGCAAGAAATAACTAAAATCAGAGCAGAACTGAAGGAAATAGAGACACAAAAAACCCTTCAAAAAATCAATGAATCCAGGAGCTGGTTTTTTGAAAGGATCAACAAAATTGATAGACCGCTAGCAAGACTAATAAAGAAAAAAAGAGAGAAGAATCAAATAGACACAATAAAAAATGATAAAGGGGATATCACCACCGATCCCACAGAAATACAAACTACCATCAGAGAATACTACGAACACCTCTACACAAATAAACTAGAAAATCTAGAAGAAATGGATACATTCCTCGACACATACACTCTCCTAAGACTAAACCAGGAAGAAGTTGAATCTCTCAATAGACCAATAACAGGCTCTGAAATTGTGGCAATAATCAATAGTTTACCAACCAAAAAGAGTCCAGGACCAGATGGATTCACAGCCGAATTCTACCAGAGGTACAAGGAGGAACTGGTACCATTCCTTCTGAAACTATTCCAATCAATAGAAAAAGAGGGAATCCTCCCTAACTCATTTTATGAGGCCAGCATCATTCTGATACCAAAGCCGGGCAGAGACACAACCAAAAAAGAGAATTTTAGACCAATATCCTTGATGAACATTGATGCAAAAATCCTCAATAAAATACTGGCAAACCGAATCCAGCAGCACATCAAAAAGCTTATCCACCATGATCAAGTGGGCTTCATCCCTGGTATGCAAGGCTGGTTCAATATACGCAAATCAATAAATGTAATCCAGCATATAAACAGAGCCAAAGACAAAAACCACATGATTATCTCAATAGATGCAGAAAAAGCCTTTGACAAAATTCAACAACCCTTCATGCTAAAAACTCTCAATAAATTAGGTATTGATGGGACGTATTTCAAAATAATAAGAGCTATCTATGACAAACCCACAGCCAATATCATACTGAATGGGCAAAAACTGGAAGCATTCCCTTTGAAAACTGGCACAAGACAGGGATGCCCTCTCTCACCGCTCCTATTCAACATAGTGTTGGAAGTTCTGACCAGGACAATCAGGCAGGAGAAGGAAATAAAGGGTATTCAATTAGGAAAAGAGGAAGTCAAATTGTCCCTGTTTGCAGACGACATGATTGTTTATCTAGAAAACCCCATCATCTCAGCCCAAAATATCCTTAAGCTGATAAGCAACTTCAGCAAAGTCTCAGGATACAAAATCAATGTACAAAAATCACAAGCATTCTTATACACCAACAACAGACAAACAGAGAGCCAAATCATGAGTGAACTCCCATTCACAATTGCTTCAAAGAGAATAAAATACCTAGGAATCCAACTTACAAGGGATGTGAAGGACCTCTTCAAGGAGAACTACAAACCACTGCTCAAGGAAATAAAAGAGGACACAAACAAATGGAAGAACATTCCATGCTCATGGGTAGGAAGAATCAATATCGTGAAAATGGCCATACTGCCCAAGGTAATTTACAGATTCAATGCCATCCCCATCAAGCTACCAATGACTTTCTTCACAGAATTGGAAAAAACTACTTTAAAGTTCATATGGAACCAAAAAAGAGCCCGCATCGCCAAGTCAATCCTAAGCCAAAAGAACAAAGCTGGAGGCATCACACTACCTGACTTCAAACTATACTACAAGGCTCCAGTAACCAAAACAGCATGGTACTGGTACCAAAACAGAGATATAGATCAATGGAACAGAACAGAGCCCTCAGAAATAATGCCGCATATCTACAACTACCTGATCTTTGACAAACCTGAGAAAAACAAGCAATGGGGAAAGGATTCCCTATTTAACAAATGGTGCTGGGAAAACTGGCTAGCCATATGTAGAAAGCTGAAACTGGATCCCTTCCTTACACCTTATACAAAAATCAATTCAAGATGGATTAAAGATTTAAACGTTAGACCTAAAACCATAAAAACCCTAGAAGAAAACCTAGGCATTACCATTCAGGACATAGGCGTGGGCAAGGACTTCATGTCCAAAACACCAAAAGCAATGGCAACCAAAGCCAAAATTGACAAATGGGATCTAATTAAACTAAAGAGCTTCTGCACAGCAAAAGAAACTACCATCAGAGTGAACAGGCAACCGACAACATGGGAGAAAATTTTCGCAACCTACTCATCTGACAAAGGGCTAATATCCAGAATCTACAATGAACTCAGACAAATTTACAAGAAAAAAACAAACAACCCCATCAAAAAGTGGGCGAAGGACATGAACAGACACTTCCCAAAAGAAGACATTTATGCAGCCAAAAAACACATGAAGAAATGCTCATCATCACTGGCCATCAGAGAAATGCAAATCAAAACCACTATGAGATATCATCTCACACCAGTTAGAATGGCAATCATTAAAAAGTCAGGAAACAACAGGTGCTGGAGAGGATGTGGAGAAATAGGAACACTTTTACACTGTTGGTGGGACTGTAAACTAGTTCAACCATTGTGGAAGTCAGTGTGGCGATTCCTCAGGGATCTAGAACTAGAAATACCATTTGACCCAGCAATCCCATTACTGGGTATATACCCAAAGGACTATAAATCATGCTGCTATAAAGACACATGCACACGTATGTTTATTGTGGCACTATTCACAATAGCAAAGACTTGGAACCAACCCAAATGTCCAACAATGATAGACTGGATTAAGAAAATGTGGCACATATACACCATGGAATACTATACAGCCATAAAAAATGATGAGTTCATGTCCTTTGTAGGGACATGGATGAAATTGGAAACCATCATTCTCAGTAAACTATCGCAAGAACAAAAAACCAAACACCGCATATTCTCACTCATAGGTGGGAATTGAACAATGAGATCACATGGACACAGGATGGGGAATATCACACTCGGGGGACTGTGGTGGGGTCGGGGGAGGGGGGAGGGATAGCACTGGGAGATATACCTAATGTTAGATGACACGTTAGTGGGTGCAGCGCACCAGCATGGCACATGTATACATATGTAACTAACCTGCACAATGTGCACATGTACCCTAAAACTTAGAGTATAATAAAAAAAAAAACATTAAAAAAAAAAAGAAAAGAAAAAAAAAAACTAGACAGAAGCTTTCTGAGAAACTTCTTATTGATGTATGCTTTCATCTCACAGGGTTGAACCTCTCTTTTGACTGAACAGTTTGGAAATAATCTTCTTGTAGAGTCTGCAAATTTATATTTGGATCGCTTTGAGACCTATAGTGAAAAAGGAAATATCTTCACATAAAAACTAGACAGAAGGATTCTGAGAAACTTCTTTGTGATGTGTGCATTCATCTCACAGATTCGAATCTTTCTTTTGATTGAGCAGTTTGGAAAGAGACTTTTCATAGAATCTGCATGGGGATATTTGTGAGCCCTTTTTGTCCTACGGTATAATAGGAAATATATTTAAATAAAAACAAGACAGAAGCATTCTGAGAAACTTCTTTCTGATGTGTGCATTCATCTCACAGAGTTGAACATTTCTTTTGATTGAGCAGGTGGGAAGCTTTGTTTTTGAAGAATCTGCAAATGGATATTTGCAGCGATTTGAGTCCAATGGTGAAATAGGAAATATATTCACATAAAAACTAGAGAGAAGCATTATGACAAACTTATTTGTGATGTGTGCATTCATCTCACAGAGTTGAACTTTTCTTTTGATAGAGCAGTTTGGAAACACTCTTTTTGTGGTATATGCAGAGGGATATTTGTGACCAGTTTGAGGCCTGGGGTGAAAAAGGAAATATCTTCACATAGAAACTAAACAAAAGCATTCTGAGAGACTACTTTGTGATGTATGTTTTCATCTCACACAGGTGAAATTTCCTTTGATGGAGCAGTTTGGAAGCAGTCTTTTTGTAGTATCTGCAGAGGGATATTTGTGACAGGATTAAGGCTAGGGATGAAAAAGGCAATATCTTCATATAAAAACAGGACAGAATCGTTCTGAAAGACTTCTTTGTGATGTGGGCATTCATCTCACAAAGTTGAACATTTCTTTTGATTGAGCAGCTTGGAAACACTCTTTTTGTAGAATCTGCAAATGGATATTTGGAGTGCTTTGAGGCCAACGGTGAAAAAGGAAATATTTTCACATAAACACTAAACAGAAGCCTTCTGAGAAACATATTTGGATTGTGTTCATTCATCTCACAAACCTGAAATTTCTTTTGATTGAGCAGTTTGGAAACAGTCTTTTCGTAGAATCTGCCAAGGGATACTTGTGATCCCATTGCGGCCTATGTGGAAATATGAAATATCTTCACATAAAAACTGGACAGGAAGTTTCTGAGAAACTTCTTTGTGATGTGTGCTTTCATCTCACTGAGTTGAAACTTTCTTTTGATTGAGTGGTTTGGAAAGAGCCTTTTTGTACAATCTACAAATGGATATTTGGAGCGCTTTGAGGCCTAAGTTGAAAAAGGAAGTATCTTCACATAAAAACTAGACAGAAGCATTCAGAGAAACTTCTTTGTGATGTGTGCATTCATGTCACAGAGTTGAACCTTTTGTTTGAGCAGTTTTGAAACAGTCTTTTTGTAGTATCTACAAGTGGATATTTGGAGTGTTTTGAGACACATGGCTGACATGGAAATATGTTCACATAAAAACTAGACAGAAACATTCTGAGAAACTTCTTTGTGATATGTGCATTCATCTCACAGAGGTGAACATTTCTTTAGATTGAACAGTTTTGAAACATTCTTTTTCTTAGAATCTGCAGGTGGATATTTGGAGTGGTTTGAGACCTGTGGTGGAAAAGGAAATATCTTCACATAAAAACTAGACAGAAGCATTCTGAAAAACTTCTTTGTGATGTGAGCATTCATCCCACAGAGTTGAACTTTTCTTTTCATTGAGCAGTTTTGGAAACCTCTTTTTGTAGAATTTGCATGTGTATATTTTGAGCACTTTGTGGCCTAAAGTGGAAAAGGAAATATATTCACATATATACTAGACAGAAACATTCTGAGAAACTTCTTTATGATGGGTGCATTCACATCACAGAGTTGAAAGTTTCTTCTGATTGAGCAGTACGGAAACAGTCGATCTGTAGAATCTGCAATGGGATATTTGTAAGCCCATTGAGGCCTATGGGGAAATAGGAAATATATTCACATAAAAATTAGACAGAAAATTTGTGAGAAACTTCTTTGTGATTTGTGCTTTCATCTCAGAGAGCTGAAACTTTCTTTGATTGAGCATTTTGGAAACAGTCTTTTTGTAGAATCTGCAAGTGGATATTTGTAGTGCTTTGAGGCCTATGGCGAAAAAGGAAATATCCTCACATAAAAACTAGACAGAAGCATTCTGAGAAACTTCTTTGTGATGTGTGCATTCATCTCACAGAGTTGAACCTTTCTTTTGATTGAGCAGTTTCAAAATACTCTTTAATAGAATCTGCATGTGGATATTTGGAGCACTTTGAGGCCTATGATGGAAAAGGAAATATCTTCATATAAAAACTAGACAGAAGCATTCTGAGGAACATCTTTGTGATGTGTGCATTCATCTCAAAGAGTTGCACCTTTCTTTTGATGGAGCAGCTTAGAAGCAGTCTGTTTGTAATATTTACATTGGTATATTTGGGACAGGTTTAAGGCCAGGGGTGCAAAAGGCAATATCTTCACATAAAAACCATACAGAATAATTCTGCGAAACTTCTTTGTGATGAGGGCATTCATCTCACAGAAATGAACCTTTCTTTTGCTTGAGAAGTTTGGAAAGGTTCTTTTTTTAGAATCTTCAAATGGATATTTGGAGTGCTTTGAGGTCTATGATGTAAAAGCAAATAGCTTCACAAAAACACTAACCAGAAGTTTTCTGAGAAACTTATTTGGATCGTGTGCATTCATATCACAAACCTGAACTTTCTTTTGATTCAGCAGTTTGGAGGTAGTCTTTTCATAGAATCTGCAAAGGGATATTTGTGAGCCCATTGAGACCTATGGGGAAATAAGAAATATCTTCACATAAAAACTAGACAGTAACTTTCTGAGAAACCTCTTTGTGATGAGTGCTTTCATCTCACAGAGTTGAAACTTTCTTATGACTGAGCAGTTTGGAAACAGTCTTTTTGTAGAATCTGCAAGTAGATATTTGGAGTGCTTTTAGGCCTATCATGGAAAAGGAAATATCTTCACCTAAAACCCAGACAGAAGCATTCTGAGAAACTTCTTTGTGATGTGTGCATTCATGTCACAGAGTTGAACCTTACTTTTGATGGAGCAGTTTTGAAACAGTCGTTTTATACAATCTGCAGAGGGAGATTTGTGAGCCCATTGAGGCCTATGGGAAATAAGAAATGTCTTCACAGAAAAATTAGACAGAATATTTCTGAGAAACTTCTTTGTGACGTGTGCTTTCATCACACAGAGTTGAAACTTTCTTTTGATTGAGCATTTTGGAAACAGTCTTTTTACGGAATCTGCAAATGGTTGTTTGGAGCACTTTGAGGCCTATGGTGAAAAACAAAATATCGTCACTTAAAACTTGACTTAAGCACACTGAGAAACTCCTCTGTGATGTCTTCTTTCATCTCACAGAGTTGAACTTTTCTTTTGATTGAGCAGTTTGGAAGCAGTCTTTTTGTAGTATCTGGAAGTGGATATTTGGAGCGCTTTGAGGTCTATGGTAAAAAAGGAAATATCTTCGCCTAAAAACTAGACAGAAGCATTCTGAGAAACTTCTCTGTGATGTGTGCATTCATCTCAAAGAGTTGAAACTTTCTTTTGATTCAGCAGTCTTGAAATACTCTTTTTGTAGAATCTGAAATTGGATATTTGAAGCACTTTGAGGCCTCTGGTGGAAACGGAAATATCTTCATATAAAAATTAGTCGGAAGCATTCTGAGAAACTACTTTGTGATGTGTGCATTGAACTCACAGAGTTGAACCTTACTTTTGATTGAGCAGTTTGGAAAAACTCTTTTTGGAGAATCTGCAAATGGATAATTGGAAGGATTTGAGGACTATGGTGAAAAAGGAAATATCTTCACATGATAACTAGACAGAAGCATTCTGAGAAACTTCTTTGTGATGTGGGCATTCATATCACAGTTGAGCCTGTCTTTCGAGCGAGTAGCTTTGAAACCCTCTTTCTGTGCAATCTGCAAGTAGATATTTGTAGTGCTTTGAGGCCTATGGTGGAAAAGGAAATACCTTCACATAAAAACTAGACAGAAGCATTCTGAGAAACTTCTTTGTGATGTGTGCATTCATCTCACAGAGTTGAACCTTTCTTTTGATTGAGCAGTTTTCAAACAGTCTTTTTGGACTATCTGGAAATGAATATTTGGAGTGTTCTGAGGCCTATGGTGGAAAAGGAAATATCACATAAAAACTAGACAGAAGCATTCTGAGAAACTACTTTGTGATGTGTGCATTCATCTCACAGAGTTGAAACTGTCTTTTGATTGAGGAGTTTGGAAACCATCTTTTTTGTAGATTCTGCAAAGGGATAATTTGTGAGCCCTTTGAGGCCTCTGGGGAAACAGGAAATATCTTCAAATAAAAACTAGACAGAAGCATTCTGAGAAAATATTTGTGATGTGTGCTTTCTTTCCACAGGGTTGAAATTTTCTTTTGATTGAGCAGTTTGGAAAGAGTCTTTTGTAGAATCTGCAAATGGATATTTGGAGTGCTTTGTGTCCTATGGTGGAAAAGGAAATATCTTCACATAAAAACTAGACAGAAGCATTCTGAGAAACTACTTTGTGATGTGTGCATTCATCTCACAGAGTTGAAACTATCTTTTGATTGAGGAGTTTGGAAACCATCTTTTTCTAGAATCTGCAAATGGATAATTTGTGAGCCCTTTGAGGTCTCCGGGGAAATAGAAAATATCTTCAAATAAAAACTGGACAAACCATTCTGAGGAGCTTCTTTGTGGTGTGTGCTTTCCTCTTGCAGAGGTGAAACTTTCTTTTGATTGAGCAGTTTGGAGACAGTCTTTTTGTAGAATCTGAAAATCTGAAAATGGATATTTAGAGCAATTTGAGGTGTATGGTGGAAAAGGAAACACCTTCACAGAAAAAGTAGACGGAACCATTCTGAGAAACTTCTTTGTGATGTGTACATTCATCTTAAAGAGTTGAACCTCTCTTTTGAATGAGCAATTTTGAAATAATCTTTTTGTAGGATCTGCAAGTGGAGATTTGGACTCCTTTAGTCCTATGGTAGAAAAGAAAATATCTCCACATAAAAACTAGACAGAAGCATTCTGAGAAACTCCCTTGTGATGTGTGAATTCATCTCACAGAGTTGAACCTTTCTTTTGATTGAGCAGTTTTGAAACACTCTTTTTGTAGAATCTGCAAGTGGATATTTAGAGCGATTTGAGGCCTATGGTGGAAAAGGAAATATCTTCACATGAAAACTACACAGAAGCATTCTGGGAAACTACTTTGTCATGTGTGCATTCATCTCACAGAGTTGAACCTTTCTTTTGATTAAGCAGTTTGGAAACGCTCTTTTTGTAGAATCTGCAAAGGGAAATTTTTGAGCCAATTGAGGCCTATGGGGAAATAGGAAATATCTTCACATAAAAACTAGACAGAAACTTTCTGAGAAACTTCTTAGTGTTTTGTGCATTTATCTCATAGAGATGAACCTTTCTTTTGATTGAGCGGTTTTGAAACAGTCTTTTTATAGTATCTGCAAGTGGATATGTGGAGTGATTTGAGGCCTATTTTTGAAAAGGAAATATCTTCACATAATATCTGGACTGAAGCATTCTGAGAAACTTCTTTGTGATGTTTGCATTCATCTCACAGAGTTGAATATTTCTTTTGATTGAATAGTTTGGAAATAGTTGATTTGTAGAATTTGAAAAGGGAAATTTGTGAGCCCATTGAGGCATTTGGGGAAATCAGAAATATCTTCACATAAAAGCTCGACATGAACAATTTAAGACGCTACTTTGTGATGTGAGTTTTCATCCCACAGAGTTGAAACTTTCTTTTGATTGAGCAGTTCAGAAACAGTCTTTTTGTAGAATCTGAAAAATGCATATTTGGAGTGCTTTGAGTCCCATGGTGAAAAAGGAAAAATCTCATAAAAACAAGGCAGAAGCATTCTGAGAAACTTCTTTGTCATGTGTGCATTCATCTCACAGAGTTGAACATTTCTTTTGATTGAGTTGTTTTGAAAAAGTCTTTTTGTAGTATCTGGAAATGGATATTCGGAGTGCTTTGAGGCCTACGGTGGAAAAGGAAATATCTTTGCATAAAAACTAGACAGAAGCATTCTGAGAAACTACTTTGTGATGAGTGCATTCATCTCACAGAGTTGAAACTTGCTTTTTATTGCGCAGTTTGGAAACAGTCTTTTTTATAGAAGCTGCAAAGGGATATTTGTCAGTCCCTTGTGGCCTCTGGGGACATAGGAAATATCCTCAGAGAAAAGCTAGACAGACGCATTCTGAGAAATTTCTTTGTGATGTGTGCTTTCAGTCCACAGAGTTGAAACTTTCTGTTGATTGAGCAGGTTAGAAAAAGTCTTTTTGTAGAATATGTAAATGGAAATTTGGAGCACTTTGAGGCCTATAGTGAAAAAGGAAATACCATCACATAAAAACTAGACAGAAGCATTCTGAGATACTCCTTTGTGATGTGTGCATTTATCTCACAGAGTTGAACATTTCTTTTGATTGAGTAGTTTGGAAACAGTCTTTTTGTAGTATCTGCAAATGGATATTTGGAGATCATTGAGGCCTACAGTGAAAAAGAAAATAACTTCAGATAAAAACTAGACAGAAGCATTCTGAGAAACTGCTTTGTGATGTGTGCATTCATCTCACAGGGTTGAACGTTTCTCTTGATTGAGCAGTTTGGAAACAGTCTTTTTGTGATATATGCATATGGATATTTGAATGCTTTGAGGCCTATGGTGAAAAACAAATATCTTCACATAAAAACTAGACAGTAGCATTCTCAGAAACTTCTTAGTGTTATGTGCATTCATCTCACAGTGTTGGACATTTCTTTTCATTGAGCAGTTTAGAAAAAGTCTTTTTGTAGTATATGCAAATGGATATTTGGAGCACTATGAAACCTATGGTGAAAAAGGAAATATCTTCACATAAAAACTAGACAGAAGCATTCTGAGAAACTTCTTTGTGATGTGTGCATTCATCACACAGCGTTGAACATTTCTTTTGATTGAGCAGTTTGGAAGGAGTCTCTTTGTAGTATCTGCAAACGGATATTTGGAGTGCTTTGAAGCAAATGGTGAAACAGGAAATATTTTTACATAAAAACTAGACAGAAGCGTTCTGAGGAACTTCTTTGCGATGTGTGCATTCGTCTCACAGAGTTGAACCATTCTTTTGATTGAGCAGATTTGAAACTCTCTTTTTGTAGAATCTGCAACTGGATATTTGAAGTGCTTTGAGGCCATGGTGGAAAAGGAAATATCTTCATATAAACACTAGACAGAAGCATTCTGAGAAAGTTCTTTGTGACGTGTGCATTCATCTCACAGATTTGAATCTTTCTATTGACTGAGCAGTTTGGAAACCGTCATTTTGTAGATTCTGCAAAGGGATAATTGTGAGCTTATCTCTGAGGTTTATGGGGAAATAGGAAATATCTTCACATAAAAACTAGACAGAAAGTTTCTGAGAAACTTCTTTGAGATGTGTGCTTTCGTCTCACAGAGATGAAACTTTCTTTTGATTGAGTAGGTTGAAAACAATCTGTTTGTAGAATCTGCAAATGGATATTTGGAGCGCTTTTAGGCCTATGGTGAAAAAGGAAATATCTTCACATAAAAAATAGACGGAAGCATTCTGAGAAACTTCTTTGTGATGTGTGCATTCGTCTCACAGAGTTGAACTTTTCTTTCGATTGAGCAGTTTGGAAACAGTCTTTTTGTTGTATCTGTTAATGGATATTTGGAGTGCTTTGAGGCCTATGGTGAAAAAGGAAATATCTTAACATAAAAACGAAAGATAATCCTTTTGAGAAACTTCTTTGTGATGTGTGCTTTCATTTCACAGAGTTGAACCTTTCTTTTGATTGAGCAGTTTGGGAACACTGTTTTTGTAGAATCTGCAAGGGGATATTTGGAACTCTTTGAAGGCTTTTATGGCATGGGGAATATCTTCACCTAAAAACTAGATCGAAACATGCTAAGAAACTTCTTTGTGATGGATGGGTGCATTCATCTGACACAGTTGAATATTTCTTTTGATTGAGCAGTTTAGAAGCAGTCATTTTGTAGAATCTGCAAAGGGATATTTGTGAGCCCATTGACGCCTATGGGGAAATAGGAAATATCTTCATATAAAAACTAGAGAGAAATTTTTTGAGAAAGTTCTTTGTGAGGTGTGCTTTCATCTCACAGATTTGAAACTTTCTTTTGGTTGAGCAGTTTGGAAACAGTCTTTTTGTAGAATCTACAAATGGATATTTTGAGTGCTTTGAGGCCTATGGTGAAAAAGGAAATATCTTCACATAAAAACTAGACAGAAACATTTTGAGAAACTTCTTTTGGATGTTTTCATTCATCTTACAGTCTTGAACCTTTCTTTTGATTGAGTAGTTTGGAAATAGTCTTATTGTGGTATCTGCAAATGGATATTTGGAGCGCCTTGAGGCCTATGGAGAAACGGGAAATATCTTAACATTAAAATGAGACAGAAGGCTTTTGAGAAACTTCTTTGTGATGTGTGCTTTCATTTCAGAGAGTTGAACCTGTCTTTTGATTGAGCAGTTTGGGAACACTCTTTTTGTAGAATCTCCAAGTGGATATTTGGAACGCTTTTAGGCCTATTGTGGAAGAGGAAATATTTTCACCTAAACACTAGACAGAAGCACTCTGAGAAACTTCTTTGTGATGGGTTCATTCATCTCACAGAGTTGAATATTTCCTTTGATTGAGTAGTTTTGAAACAGTCATTTTGTAGGATCCGCAAAGGGATACTTGTGAGCCCTTTGAGGCCTATGGGGAAATAGGAAATTTCTTGACATAAAAAGTAGACAGAAGCATTCTGAGAAACTTCTTTGTGATGTGTGTTTTCATACCACAGAGTTGAAACTTTCTTTTGATTGAGCAGTTTGTAAACAGTGTTTTTGTAGAATCTGCAAATGGATAGTTGGATTGCTTTTAGGCCTATGGTGAAAAAGGAAATATCTTCACATAAAAACTAGACAGAACAATTCTGAGAAACTTCTTTGTGACGTGTGCATTCATCTCACAGTGTTGAACGTTTCTCTTGATTGAGCAGTTTGGAAAAAGTCTTTTTGTAGTACCTTCAAAAGGATATTTGGATCGCCTTGAAGCCTACAGTGAAAAAGGAAATATCTTCACATAATGACTAGACCAAAGCATTCTGAGAAAATTCTTTGTGATGTGTGCATTCATCTCACAGAGTTGAACATTTCTTTTGATGGAGCAATTTGGATACAGTTGTTTTGAAGAATCTGTGGAGGGATATTTGTGAGCTCACTGAGGCCTATGGGAAGTAGAAAATATCTTCACATTAAAACTAGACAGAACCTTTCTGAGAAACTTCTTTGTGATGTGTGCTTTCGTCTCACAGAGTTGAAACTTTGTTTTGGTTGAGCAGTTTGGAAACAGTCTTTTTATGGAATCTGCAAATGGATATTCGGAGCGCTTTGAGGCCTATGGTGAAAAAGGAAATATCTTCACATAAAAACTAGGCAGAAGCATTCTGAGAAACTTCTTTGTAATGTGCACCTTCATCTCACAGACATGAACCTTTCTTTTGATTAAGCAGTTTAGAAACCGTCGTTTTGTAGAATCTGCAAAGGCATATTTCTGAACCCATTGGGGCCTAAGGAGCAATAGGAAATATTGTCACATAAAAACTACACTGAAACGTTCTGAGAATCTTCTTTGTGATGTTTCAAGGAGTTGAAACTTTCTTTTGATTGACTAGATTGGAAAGAGTCTTTTTGTAGAATCCTGAAATGGATATTTGGAGTGCTTTGAGGCATATGGTGAAAAAGGAAATATCTTCACATGAAAACTAGACAGAAGAAATTGGAGAAACTTTTCATGATGAGTGCATTCATCTCACAGAGTTGAACCTTTCTTTTGATTGAGGAGTTTGGAAAGAATCTTTTTGTAGTATCTGCAAGTGGATATTTGGAGCACTTTGAGTCCTATGGTGGATAAGGAAATATTTTCACATCAAGCTAGACAGAAGCAGTCTGAGAAACTTCTTTTTGATGTGCTCATTTATGTTACAGGGAAGCTTTCTTTTCATTGAGCAGTTTTGAGACACTCTTTTTGTGGAATCTGCAAGTGGATACTTGGAGCTCATAGAGGCCTGTGGTGGAAAAGGAAATATGTTCACATAAAAATTAGACAGAAACATTCTGAGAAACTTCTTTGTGAAGAGTGCATTCATCTCACAGAGTTGGAAATTCCTTTTGATTGAGCAGTTTGGGATCAGTCGTTTTGAAGCAGCTGCAAAGGGATATTTGTGAACTCAATGAGGCATATGGGGAAATAGGAAATATCTTCACATAAAAACTAGACAGAAACTTTCTGAGAAACTTCTTTGTGATGTGTGCTTTCATCTCACAGAGTTGAAACTTTCTTTTGATTGGGCAGTTTGGAAACAGTCGATCCTTAGAATCTGCATAGGGACATTTATTAGCCCATTGACGATGCTGGGGAAATAGTTTATATCTTCACATAAAAACTAGACTGAAACTGTCGGAGAAACTTTTTTGTCATGTGTGTTTTCATCCCACAGAGTTGAAATTTTCTTTTGATTGAGCAGTTTGGAAACATTCTTTTTGTAGAATCTGTAAATGGATATTTGTAGCACTTTGAGGCCTATTGTGAAAAATGAAATATCTTCACATAAAAACTACACAGAAGGATTCTGAGAAAGTTCTTTGTGATGTGCACATTCACCTCACAGAGTTCAAACTTTCTTTTGATGGAAAAGTTTGGAAACAGTCGTTTTGTAGATTCTGCAAAGGGATATTTGTGCACCCATTGAGGCCTACGTAGAAATAGGAAATATATTCTCATAAAAACTAGACAGAAGCATTCTGAGAAACTTCTGTGTGATGTGTGCATTCATCTCACACAGTTGAACTTTTCTTTTGATTGAGCAGTTTTGAAAAAGTCTTTTTCTATATCTGCAAGTGGATATTTGGAGTGATTTGAGGTCTATGGAGGAAAAGGAAACATCTTTACATAAAAACTAGTCAGAAGCATTCTGAGAAATTTCTTTGTGATGTATGCATTCTACTTGTAGATTCTACAAAAGGAGTGTTTCAAAACTGCTAAATCAAAAAAAGGTTCAAGGCTCCAAATGTCCACTTGTACATTCTACAAAAAGAGAGTTTCAAAACTGCTCAAACAAAAGAAAGGTTTAAATCCATGAGATGAATGAACACATCACAAAGAAGTTTCTCAGATTGCTTCTGTCTAGATTTTACGTGAAGATATTTCCTTTTATAACATAGGCCACAAAGCACTCCAAATGTCCACTTGCAGATTCTACAAAAACAGAGTTTCAAAACTGCTCAATCAAAACAAAGGTTTAACTCTGTGAAATGAATGCACACATCACAAAGAAGTTTCTCAGATTGCTTCTGTTTAGATTTTATGTGAAGATATTTCCTTTTGAAATGTAGGCTGAAAAGCGCTCCAAATGTCCACCTGTAGATTCTACAAAAAGAGAGTTTCAAAACTGCTCAATCAAAAGAAAGGTTCAACTCTGTGAGATGAATGAATACATCACAAAGAAGTTTCTCAGAATGCTTCTGCCTAGTTTTTATGTGAAGAGATTTCCTTTTCATCTATAGGACTCAAAGTGCTCAAAATATCCATTGGCTGATACAACAAAAAGAGTGTTTCCAAACTGCTCAATCAAAAGAAAGCTTCAACTCTGTGAGTTGAATGCGCACATCACAAAGTAGTTTCTGAGAATACTTCTGTCTAGTTTTTAGGTGAAGAGTCTTCCTTTTCGGCTATAGGCCTCAAAGCACTGTAAATATCCATTTGAAAATACTTCAAAAAGAGTGTTTCAAAACTGCTCAATCAAAAGGAAAGTTCAACTCTGTGAGATGTATGCACACATCACAAAGAATTTTCTCAGGATGCTTCTGCCTAGTTTTTATGTGAAGATATTTCCTTTCAGCTATAGACCTCAAAGCACTCCAAATATCCATTTGCAGATACTACAAAAAGTGTTTCCAAACTGCTCAAAGAAAAGAAAGCTTCAACTCTGTGAGGTGAATGCACACATCACAAAGTAGTTTCTGAGAATGCTTCTGTCTAGTTTTTATGTGAAGATATTTCCTTTTCCACCATAGGCCTCAAAGTGCTCCAAATAGCCACTTTCAGATTCTACGAAAAGAGTGTTTCAAAACTGTTCAATCAAAAGAAAGTCTCAACTGTGTAAGATGAATGCACACATCACAAAGAAGTTTCTCAGGATGCTTCTCTCTAGTTTTTACGTGAAGATATTTCCTTTAAGCTATCGGCCTCAAAGCACTCCAAATATCCATTTGCAGACAGTACATAATGAATGTTTCCAAACTGCTTAACCAAAAGAAAGCTTCAACTCTGTGAGTTGAATGCTCACATCACAAATAAGTTTCTGAGAATGCTTCTATTTTTTATATGAAGATATTTCATTTTCAGCTATAGGCTTCAAAGCGCTCAAAATATTCATTTGTAGACACTACAAGAAGAGTTTTTCCAAACTGCTCAATCAAAAGAAAGGCTCAGCTCTGTTAGTTGAATGCCTTCATCACAAAGGAGCCTCTGAACATGCTTTTGTCTTGTTTTTATGAGAATGTACTTCCTTTTCCACTGTAGAATTAAAAGCACTCCAATAATCCACTTTCAGATTCTACAAAAAGAGTTTTTCTAAACTTCTCAATCAAAAGAAAGGTTCAACTCTGTGAGTTGAATGCACACATCACAAAGAAGTACCTGAGAATGCTTCTGTCTAGTTTTTATGTGAAGATATTTGTTTTCCACCGTAGGCCTCAAAGCGCTCCAAATACCCACTTGCAGATTCTACAAAGGAGTGTTTCAAAACTGCTCAATCAAAAGAGAGGTTCAACACTGTGAGATGAATGCACACACCACAAAGAATTTTCTGAGAATGCTTCTGTCTAGTTTTCATTTGAAGATATTTCCTTTTCCACCAGAGGCTTCAAAGTGCTCCAAATATCCACTTGCGAATTCTGCAAAAAGACTGTTTCAAAACTCCTCAATCAAAAGAAAGGTTCAACTCTGTGAGATGAGTGCTTACATCACAAAGAAGTTTCTGAGAATGCTTCTGTCTAGTTTTTATGTGAAGATACTTTCTTTTCAGCTATAGGCCTAAAACACTCCAAATATCCATTTGCAGATACTACAAAAAGAGTCTTTGCAAACTGATCAAACAAAAGAAAGGTTCAACTCTGTGAGATGAATGCACACATCACAAATTAGTTTCTCAGAATGCTTCTGACTAGTTTTTATGTGAAGAGATTTACTTTTCACCTATAGGCCTCAAAGTGCACAAAATATCCATTTGCAGATACTACAAAAAGAGTGTTTCCAAACTGCTCAATCAAAAGAATTGTTCAACTCGGTGAGTTGAAACCACACATCAGTAAGAAGTATCTGAGAATGCTTCTGTCTAGTTTTTATGTGAAGATATTTCCTTTTCCACCATAGGCCTCAAAGCGCTTCAAATATCCACTTGCAGATTCTGCAAAAAGAGTGTTTCCTAACTGCTCAATCAAAAGTGTGGTTCAACTCTGTGAGATGAATGCACACATCACAAACAAGTTTCTCAGAATGCTTCTGTCTTGTTTTTATGTCAAGATATTTCCTTTTCAGTTACAGGAGTCAAAGCTCTCCAAATATCCACTTGCAGATACTTCAAAACGTTTGTTTCCAAACTGCTTAATGAAAAGAAAGGGTCAACTCTCTGAGTTGAGTGCACACATCACAAAAGAGTTTCTGAGAATGCTTCTGTCTAGATTTATGTGAAGATATTTCCTTTTCCACCAAAGGCCTCAAAGCGCTCCAAATATCCACTTGCAGATTCTACAAAAAGTGCATTTCAAAACTCCTCAATCAAAAGAAAGCTTCAGTTCTCTGAGATGAATACACACATCACAAAGAAGTTACTGAGAATTCTTCTGTATAGCTTTTATGTGAAGATATTTCCTTTTCCGCTACAGGCCTCAAACTGCTGCAAATATCCATTTGCAGATACTACAGAAAGAGTGTTTAGAAACTGCTCAATTAAAAGAAAGGTTCAACCCTATGAGCTACATGCACACATCACAAAAATGTTTCTGAGAATGCTTCTTTTTAGTTTTTGTGTGATATTTCCTTTTCCACCATGGGCCTCAAAGCAGTCCAAATTCAACTCTGTGAATGCACACATCATGAAGAATTTTCTCAGATTGCTTCTTTCTAGTTTTTATGTGAAGATATTTCCTTTTCAGCTATAGGCCTAAAAGCGCTCCAAATATCCACTTGCAGATACTGGAAAAAGAGTGTTTCCAAACTGCTCAAAGAAAAGAAAGGTTCAGCTCTATGAGTTGAATGTCCAGATCACAAAGAAGTATCTGAGAATGCTTCTGTCTAGTTTTTATGTGAAGATATTTTATTTTCCACCATAGGCCTCAAAGCGCTCCAAATCTCCACTTGGAGATTCTACAAAAAGAGTATTTCCAAACTGCTCAATCAAAAGAAATGTTCAAAACTGTGAGTTGAATGTACACATCACAAAGAAGGTTCAGAGAATGCTTCTGTCTAGTTTTTATGTGAAGATATTTCCTTTTCCACCAGAGGCCTCAAAGGGCTCCAAAAATCCACCTACAGATACTACAAAAAGAGAGTTTCAGAACTGCTCAATCAAAAGAAAGGTTTACCTCTGTGAGACAAATGCACACATCACAAAGAAGTTTCTCAGATTGCTTCTGTCTAGATTTTAAGTGAAGATATTTCCTTTTCTACCATAGACCGCAAAGTGCTCCAAATGTCCACTTGCAGATTCTACGAAAAGAGTGTTTCAAAACTCCTCAATCAATAGAAAGGTTCAATTCTGTGTGATGAATGCACACATCACAAGGACGTCTCTCATATTTCTTCTGTCTATTTTTTATGTGAAGATATTTCCTTTTCCACGACAGGCCTCAAAGCGCTCCAAATGTCCACTTGCAGATCCTACAAAAAAAGAGTTTCAAAACTTCTCAATGAAAAGAAAGTTTTAACTCTGTGAGATGAATGCACACATTATGAAGAGGTTTCTCAGATGGTTCCTGTCTAGATTTTATGTGAAGATATTTCCTTTTCTATCATAGCCCGCAAAGCGCTCCAATTGTCCACTTGCAGATTCTACAAAAAGAGTGCTTCAAAACTGTTCAATCAAAAGGAAGTTTCAACTCTGTGAGATGAATGCACACATCACAAAGAAGTTTCTGAGAATTCTTCTCTGTAGTTTTTATGTGAAGATATTTCCTTTTCCACCATGAGCCTCAAAGTGCTCCAAATATCCACTTGCAGATTCTACAAAAAGAGAGTTTCAAAAACGGCTGAGTCAGAAGAAATGTTGAACTCTGTGAGATGAACGCACACATCAAAAGGAGTTTCTCAGAATTCTTTTGTGTAGTTTTTATATGAAGATATTTCCTTTTCCTCTGTAGGCCTGAAGGCACTAGAATTGTCCACTTGCAGATTCTGCTAAAAAAGTATTTCAAAACTGGTCCTTCAAAAGAAAGGTTCAATTCTGGGACATGAGTTCACACAGCATGAAGAAGTTTGTCAGTTTGCTTCTGTCTAGTTTTTATGTGAACATATTTCTTTTTCAGATATAGGTCTCAAAGCACTCCAAATATCCATTCGCAGATACCACAAAAAGAGTGTTCCCAAACTGTTGAAACTAAAGAAAGCTTCAACTCTGTGAGTTGAATGCACAAATCACAAAGAATTTTCTGAGAATGCTTCTGTCTAGTTTTCTGTGAAGATATTTCCTTTTCCACCGTAGGCCTCAAAGTGCTCCAAATATTCACTTTCAGAATGTACAAAAAGGGTTTTTCAAAACTGCTCAGTCAAAAAAAAGATTCTACTCTGTGAGATGAATGCACACATCACAAAGAAGTTTCTCAGAATACTTCTGTCTACTTTTCATGTGAATATAATTCCTTTTCAGATTTAGGCACCAAAGCACTCTAAATATCCTCTTCCAGGTTCTACAAAGAGTGTTTCAAAACTGCTCGATCAAAAGAAACGTTTAACTATGTGAGAAGAATGCACAAATCATGAAGAATTTTCTCAGATTGCTTCTGTCTAGTTTTTATGTGAAGATGTTTTCTTTTCAACTATAGGCCTAAAAGCACTCCAAATATCCACTTGCAGACACAGGAAAAAGAGTGTTTCCAAACTGCTCAATGAAAAGAAAGGTTCAAATCTATGAGTTGAATGCCCATATCATAAAGAAGTATCTGAGAATGCTTTTGTCTAGTTTTCATGTGAATATATTCCCTTTTCCACCACAGGCCTCAAAGCGCTCCAAATCTCCACTTGCAGATTCTACAAAAAGAGGGTTTACAAACTGCTCAATCAAAGGAAAGGTTCAAATCTGTGAGATGAATGCACACATCACAAAGAAGTTTCTCAGGATGCTTCTGTCTAGTTTTTATATGAAGATATTTCCTTTTCAGCTATAGGCCTCAAAGTGCTCCATATATCCATTTACAGATACTACAAAAACAGTGTTTCCAAACTACTCAATCAAAAGAAAGCTTCAACGCTGTGAGTTGAATGCACAAATCACAAAGAAGTTTCTGAAAATGCTTCTGTCTAGTTTTTATGTGAAGATATTTGCTTTTCAGCTATAGGCGTCAAAGCGCTCCAAATATCCATTTGCCGATACTACAAAATGAGTGTTTACAAACAGCTCAATCAAAAGAAAGCTTCACCTCTGTGAGGTGAATGCGCACATCACAGAGAAGTTTCTCACAATGCTTGTGTCTAGTTTTTATAAGAAGATATTTTCTTTTCCACCATAGGACCCAAAGCGCTCCAAATATCCACTTGCAGATTCTACAAAAAGAATGTTTCAAAACTGCTCAATCAAAAGAAAGTTTCAACTCTGTGAGATGAATGCACAAATCACAAAATAGTCTTTGAGAATGCTTCTGTCTAATTTTTATGTGAAGCTATTTCCTTTTCTGCTATAGGACTCAAAGCGCTCCAAATATCCCTTTGAAGATACTACAAAAATAGTGTTCCCAAACTGCTCAATCAAAGGAAAGGTTCAAGTCTGTGAGTTGAATGCACTCATCACAAAGAAGTTTCTGAGAATCCTTCTGTCCAGTTTTTATGTGAAGATATTTCTTTTTCCACCATAGGCCTCAAAGCACTCCAAATACCCTTTTGCAGATTGTACAAAAAGAGTGTTTCAAATCTGCTCAGACAAAAGAAAGTTTCAAGTCTGTGAGATGAATGCACACATGACAAAGAATTTTCTGAGAAAGCTTCTGTCTAGTTTTTATGTGAAGATATTACCTTTTTAGCTCTAGGCCACAAAGCGCTCCAAATTTCCACTTGCAGATTCTACAAAGGAGTGTTTCCAAACTGCTCAATCAAAGAAATGTTCAACTCGGTGAGTTGAAATCACACATCACAAAGAAGTACATGAGAATGCTTCAGTCTAATTTCTATGATAAGATATTTCCTTTTCTGCCATAGGCCCCAAAGTGCTCCAAATATCCACTTGCAGATTCTACAAAAAGAGTGTTTCCTAACTGCTCAATCAAAAATATGATTCAACTGTGTGAGATGAATGCACATTTCACAAACAAGTTTCTCAGAATGCTTCTGTCTAGTTTTTGTGTGAAGATATTTCCTTTTCAGTTATAGGAGTCAAAAGGCTCCAAATATCTATTTGCAGATACTTCAAAAAGTTTGTTGCCAAAATGCTTAATCAAAAGAAAGTTTCAACTCTCTGAGTTGAATGCACACATCACAAAGGAGTTTCTGAGAATGCTGCTGTCTAGTTTTAATGTGAAGATATTTCCTTTTCCACCATAGGCCTCAAAATGCTCCAAATGTCCACTTGCAGATCCTACAAAAAGAGAGTTTCAAAATGGCTCAATGAAAAGAAAGGTTTAACTAAGTTAGATGAATGCACATATCACACAGAGGTTTCTCAGATTGCTTCTGTCTAGATTTTATGTGAAGATATTTCCTTTTCTACCATAGTCCGCAAAGCGCTCCAAATATCCACTTGCAGATTCTACAAAACGAGTGTTTCCAAACTGCTCAGTATAAAGAAAGATTCAACTCTGTGAGATGAACGCACACATCACAAAAACGTTTCTCAGAATTCTTCTGACTAGTTTTTATATGAAGATATTTCCTTTTCCACCATAGACCTCAAAGCCCTCCAAATGTCCATTTGCAGATTCTACAAAAAGAGAGTTTCAAAACTGCTCAATCAAAAGAAAAGCTTACCTCTGTGAGACAAATGCACACATCACAAAGAAGTTTCTCAGGTTGCTTCTGTCTAAATTTTACATGAAGATATTTCCTTTTCTACGATAGGCCGAAAAGAGCTCTAAATGTCCACTTGCAGAGTCTACAAAAAGAGTGTTTCAAAACTCCTCAATCAAAAGAAAGTTTCAACTCTGTGAGATGAACGCACACATCACAAAAAAGTTTCTCAGAATTCTTCTGACTAGTTTTTATGTGAAGATATTTCCTTTTCCACGATAGCCCTCAAAGCGCTACAAATGTCTACTTGCAGGTTCTACAAAAAGAGAGTTTCAAAACTGCTCAATAAAAAGAAAATTATAACTCAGTGAGATGAATTCATACATCACAAAGAAGTTTCTCAGATTGTTTCTGTCTAGATTTTATGTGAAGATATTTCCTTTTCTACCATAGGCCCCAAAGCACTCCAAATATTCTCTTGCTGATTCTACAAAAAGAGTGTTTCCAAACTTCTAAATCAAAAGAAAGCTTCAAACTTAGAAGATGAATGCACACATCACAAAGTAGTTTCTCAGAATCCTTCTGTCTAGTTTCTATGTAAAGATATTTCCTTTTCCACCATAGGCCTCAAGACACTCGAAATGTTCACTTGCAGATTCTACCAAAAACGTATTTCAAAACTGGTCAATCAAAAGAAATGTTCAATGCTGGGAGATGAATGCACACATCACAAAGAAGTTGCTCAGAATGCTTCTATCTAGTTTTTACTTGAAGATATTTCATTTTCCACCATGGGACTCAAAGCTCTCCATATGTCCAATTGCAGATTCTACAAAAAGAGAGTTTCAAAACTGCTCTATCAAGAGAAAGGTTTAACTCTGTGAGATGAATGCACACATCACAAAGAAGTTTCTCAGATTGCTTCTCTCTAGGTTTTATGTGAAGATATTTCCTTTTCTACGATTGGCCGCAAATCACTCCAAATGTCCACTTGCAGATCCTATAAAAAGAGTGTTTCCAAACTGCTCAATGAAAAGAAATGTTGAATTCTGTGAGATGAACACACACGTCACAAAGATTTTTCTCACAATTCTGCTGTCGAGATTTTATGTGAAGATGTTTCCTTTTCCACCATAGGCCTCAAAGTGCCCCAAATGTCCACTTGCAGATTCTACAAATAGAGTGTTTCAAAACTGTTCAATGAAAAGAAAGGTTTAACTCTGTGAGATGAATGCACACATCACAAGGAAATCTCTCAGATTACTTCTGTCTAGATTTTATGTGAAGATAATTCCTTTTCTAACATTGGCTGCAAAGTGCTCCAAATGTCAACTTGCAGATTCTACCGTAAGAGTGTTTCCGAACTGCTCAATCAAAAGAAAGTTTTCAACTCTGTGAGATGAACGCACACATAACAAAGTAGTTTCTCAGAATTATTCTGTCTAGTTTTTATGCGAAGACGTTTCCTTTTCCACCTTAGGCCTTAAAGCACTCCAAATGTCCACTTGCAGATTCTACAAAAGGAATATTTCAAAACTGTTCCATAAAAAGAAAGGTTCAACTCTGGGTGATGAATGCACACATCGTAAAAAAGTTTCTCCGAATGCTTATATCTAGTTTTTATGTGAAGATATTTCCTTTTCCACCATAGGCCTCAAAGCACTCCAAATGTCCACTTGCAGATTCTACAAAAAGAGAGTTTCAAAACTACTCAAAGAAAGGGTTACCTCTGTGAGATGAATGCACACATCACAAAGAAGTTTCTCAGATTGCTTCTGTCTAGATTTTATGTGAAGTTATTTCCTTTTCTACCACAGGCAGCAAAACGCTCCAAATGTCCATGTGCAGATTCTACAATAAGAGTGTTTCCAAACTGCTCAATCAAAAGAAAGATTCAACTCTGTGAGATGAACGCGCACATCACAAAGAAGTTTCTCAGAATTCTTCTGTCTAGTTTTTATGTGAAGATATTTTATTTTCCACCATAGACCTTAAGGTGCTTGAAATGTCCACTTGCAGATTCCACAAAAGGAGTATTTCAAAACTGGTCTATCAAAAGAAAGGTTCATCCCTTGGAGGTGAATGCACACATCACAACAAAGTTTCTCAGATGGCTTCTGTCTAGATTTTATGTGAAGATATTTCCTTTTCTCCCAAAGGCTGCAAAGCGCTCCAAATTTCCACATGCAGATTCTACCAAAAGAGTGTTTTGAAACTATGCAATCAAAAGAAAAGTTCAACTCTGTGAGATGAATGCACACATCACAAAGAAGTTCCTCAGGATCTGTTTAGTTTTTATGTGAAGATATTTCCTTTTCTACCATAGGTTGCAAAGCACACCAAATGTCCACTTGCAGGTCCTAAAAAAAGAGTGTTTCCAAAATTCACAATCAAAAGAAAGGTTCAACTCCGTGAGATGAACGCACACATAGCAGAGAAGTTTCTCATAATTCTTCTCTCTAGTTTTTATGCAAAAATATTTCCTATTCTACCATAGGCCGCAAAGCACTACCAAAAGAGTGTTTCCAAACTGCTCAATCAAAAGAAAGCTTCAACTCTGTGAGTTAAATGCACACATCACAAAGTAGTTTCTGAGAATGTTTCTGTCTAGTTTTTATGTGATGATATTTCCTTTTCCACCATAGGCCTCAAAGCCCTCCAAATATCCACTTGCAGATTCTACAAAAAGAGTGTTTCAAAACTGTTCAATCAAAAGACAATTTCAACTCTGTGAGATGAATGCACACATCACAAAGAAGTTTCTCAGGATGTTTCTGTCTAGGTTTTATGTGAAGATATTTCCTTTCAGCTATAGGCCTCAAAGCACTCCAAATAGACATTTTCAGACACTACAAAATGAGTGTTTCCAAACTGCTCAATCAAAAGAAAGCTTCAACTCTGTGAGTTGAATGCACACATCACAAAGAAGTTTCTGAGAATGCTTCTGTCTAGTTTTTATGTGAAGATATTTCTTTTTCAGCTATAGGCCTCAAAGTGCTCCAAATATCCATTTGCAGATACTACAAAAAGAGTCTTTGCAAACTGCTCAATGAAAAGAAAGGTTCAACTCGGAGTTCAATGCACACATCACAAAGAAGTTTCTCAGAATGCTTCAGTCTAGTTTTTATGGGAAGATGTTTGCTTTCCACCACAGGCCTCTAAGCGCTCCAAATATCCATTTGCAGATTCTCCAAAAAGTGTGTTTCAAAACTGCTTAATCAAAAGAACGGTTTATCTCTGTGAGATGAATGCACACAGAAGTTTCTCAGAGTGCTTCTGTCTACTTTATATGTGAACATAATTCTTTTTTCAGCTATACGCCTCAAAGTGCTCCAAATATCCAATTGCAGATAATACAAAGCGAGTGTTTCCAAACTGCTCAATCAAAAGAAAGCTTCAACTCTGTGAGTTGAATGCACACATCACAAAGAAGTTTCTGAGAATGCTTCTGTCTAGTTTTTATGTTAGGATATATCCTTTTAAGCTATGGACATCAAAGTGCTCCAAATATACATTTGCAGATACTACAAAATGAGTGTTTTCAAACAGCTCAATCAAAAGAAAGTTCAACTCTGTGAGTTGAATGCACACATCACAAGGAAGTTTCTCAGAATACTTCTGTCTTGTTTTTATGTGGAGATATTTCCTTTTCCACATTGGCCTCAAAGCACTCCAATTATCCACTTGCAGATTCTACAAAAAGAGATTTTCAAAACTGCTCAATCAAAAGAAAGGTTCAACTCTTTGAAATGAACACACACATCACAAAGAAGTTTCTCAGAATGCTTCTGTCTAATTTTTATGTCAAGATATTTCCATTTCAGCTATAGGCCTCAAAGCGCTCCAAATATCCATTTGTGGATACTGTAAAAAGGGTTTTTCCAATCTGCTCAATCAAAAGAAAACTTCAACTCTGTGAGTTGAATGCACACATCACAATGAAGTTTCTGACAATGCTTCTGTCAAGTTTTTATGTGAAGATATTTCATTTTCCACCATAGGCCTCAAATCACTCCCAATATCCACATGCACATTCTCCAAAAAGAGTGTTTCAAAACTGTTCAATCAAAAAAAAGGTTAAAATCTGTGAGATGAATGCACACATACCAAAGAAGTTTCTCAGAATGCTTCTGTCTAGTTTTTATGTGAAGATATTTCCTGTGCCCCTATAGGCCTCAAAGCGCTGCAAATATCCATTTGCAGATACTATAAAAAGAGTGTTTCCAAACTGCTCAATCAAAAGTAAGGTTCAACTCCATGAGCTGAATGCACACATTACGAAGAAGTTTCTGAGAATGCTTCTGTCTACTTTTTAGGTGAAGATATTTCCTTTTCCAGCATAGGCCTCAAAGCGCTCCAAATATCCACTTACATATTCTACAAAAAGAGTGTTTCAAAACTGCTTAATTAAAAGAAAGGTTCAACAATGTGAGTTGAATGCACACATCACAAACCAGTTTGTCAGATTGCTTCTCTCTAGATATTATGTGAGGATATTTCCTTGTCTAACAGGCCGTAAGGACCTCCAAATTTGAACTTGCAGATTCTACCAAAAGAGTGTTTCCAAACTGCTCAAAGAAAGGTTAAACTCTTTGAGATGAATGCAAGCATCACAAAGAAGTTTCTCAGAATGCTTCTGTCTAGTTTTTATGTTAAGATATTTCCTTTTCCATCATAGGCCTCAAAGTGCTCAAAATATCCACTTGCAGATACTACAAAAAGAGAGTTTCAAAACTGCTCAATCAAAAGAAAGTTTTAACTTTGTGAGATGAATGCACACATCACAAAGAAGTTTCTCAGATTGCTTCTGTCTAGATTTTTTGTGAAGATCTTTCCTTTTCTACCACAGGCCGCAAAGCACTCCAAATGTCCACTTGCAGATACTACAAAAAGAGTGTTTCCAAACTGCTCAATCAAAAGAAAGGTTCAACTCTGTGAGATGAATGCACACATCACAAAGAGGTTTCTCAGAATGCTTCTGTCTACTTTTTATGTGAGGATATTGCCTTTTCAGCTATACTCCTCAAAGAGCTGTAAATACCCATTTGCAGACAGTATAAAAAGAGTGTTTCCAAACTGCTCAATCAAAAGAAAGGTTTAACTCTATGAGATGAATGCACACATCACAGTGAACTTTCTGAGAATGCTTCTGTGTAGTTTTTATGTGATGACATTTCCTTTTACAGCATAGGCCTCAAAGCACTCCAAATATCCACTTGCAGATTTTACAAAAAGATAGTTTCAAAACTGCTCAATCAAAAGAAAGGTTCAACCCTGTGAGATGAATGCACACATCTCAAACCAGTTTCTCAGATTGCTTCTGTCTAGATTTTATGTGAAGATGTTTCCTTCTCTACCATAGGTCACAAAGAGCTCCAATTTTCAACTTGCAGATTCTACCAAGAGTGTTTCCAAACTGCTCAATCAAATAAAGCTTCAACTCTCTGAGATGAAAGGAAGCATCACAAAGAAGTTTCTCAGAATTCTTCTGTCTAGTTTTAATGTGAAGATATTTACTTTTCCACCATAGGCCTCAAAGTGCTCCAAATGTCCACTTGCAGTTTCTACATAAAGAGAGTTTCAAAACTGCTCAATCAAAAGAAAGTTTTAACTTTGTGAGATGAATGCACACATAACACAGAAGTTTCTCAGACTGCTTCTGTCTAGATTTTATGTGAAGATATTTCTTTTTCTACCATAGGCTGCAAAGCACTCCAAATGTCCACTTGCAGATTCTACAAAAAGAGTGTTTCCAACCTACGCAATCAAAAGAAAGGTTCAACTCTGTGAGATGAATGCACACATCCCAAAGGAGTTTCTCAGAATGCTTCTGTCTAGTTTTTATGTGAAGATATTTCATTTTCAGCTATAGGCCTCAAAACGCTCTGAATATCCATTTGCAGATACTACAATAAGAGTGTTTCCAAACTGCTCAATCAAAAGAAAGGTTCAACTCTGTGAGTTGAACGCACACATCAAAAAGAAGTTTCTGAGAATGCTTCTGTCTAGTTTTTATGTTAAGATATTTCCTTTTCCACCATAGGCATCAAAGCACTCCAAATATCCACTTGCAAATTCTACAAAAAGAGTGTTGCAAAACTGCTCAATCAAAAGAGAGTTTCAACTCTGTGAGATGAACGCACATGTCACAAAGAAGTTTTTCCGAATTCTTCTCTCTAGTTTTTATGAGAAAATATTTCCTTTTCCACCCTAGGCCTCAAAGCGATCCAAATGTACACTTGCAGATTCTACAAAAACAGAGTTTCAAAAACGGCTCAATCAAAAGTAAGGTTTAACTCTGTAAGATGAATGCACACATCACAAAGCAGTTTCTCAGATTGCTTCTGTCTAGATTGTATGTGAAGATATTTCCTTCTCTACCATAGGCCGCAAATAGCTCCAAATTTGAAATTGCAGATTCTACCAAAAGAGTGTTTCCAAACTGCTCAATCGAAAGAAAGGTTCAACTATTTGAGATGAATACAAGCATCACAGAGAAGTTTCTCAGAATTCTTCTGTCTAGTTTTTATGTGGAGATATTTCCTTTTCCACCATAGGCCTCAAAGTGCTCCAAATGTCCACTTGCAGAGTCTTCAAAAAGAGTGTTTCAAAACTACTCAATCAAAAGAAAGTTTTAACTTTGTGAGATGAATGCACACATCACAAAGAAGTTTCCCAGATTGCTTCTGTCTAGATTTTATGTGAAGATATTTTTTTTCTACCATGGGCTGCAAAGCACTCCAAATGTACACTTGCAGATTCTACAAAAAGAGTGTTTCCAAACTGCTCAATAAAAAGAGAGGTTCAACTCTGTGGGATGAATGCACACGTCACAAAGTGGTTTCTCAGAATTCTTCTGTCTAGTTTTCATGTGAAGCTATTTCCTTTTCCATCATAGGCCTCAAGGCAATCCAAATGTCCCCTGCAAACTCTACAAAAAGAGAGTTTCAAAACTTCTCAATCAAAAGAAACTTTTGATTTTGGGAGATGAATGCCCACATCACAAGAAGTTTCTCAGATTGCTTTTGTCTACATTTTATGTGAAGATATTTACTTTTCTACCATAGACCCCAAAGCGTAAAATCGTCCTCTTGCAGATATTACAAAAAGAGTTTTTCCAAACTTCTCAATCAAAAGAAAGGTTCAACTCTGGGAGACAAACACACACACCACAAAGAAGTTTCTCAGAATTCTTCTGTCTAGTTTTTATGTGAAGATATTTCCTTTTCCACCATAGTCCTCAAAGCCCTCCAAATGTCCACTTGCAAATTCTACAAAAAGAGAGTTTCAAAACTGCTCAAACAAAAGAAAGGTTTAAATAAGTGAGATGAATGAACACATCACAAAGTAGTTTCTCAGATTGTTTCTGTCTAGATTTTATGTGAAGATATTTCCTTTTATAACATAGGCCACAAAGCACTCCAAATGTCCACTTGCAGATTCTAATAAAAGAGTGTTTCCAAACTGCTCAATCAAAAGAAAGGTTCAATTCTGTGAGATGAATGCACACATCACAAAGAAGTTTCTCAGAATTCTTCTTCCTAGTTTTTATGTGAAGATATTACCTTTTCCACCATAGGCCTCAAAGAGCTCCAAATGTTCTCTTTCAGATTCTACAAAAAGAGAGTTTCAAAACTGCTCAATCAAATAAAGTTTCAACTCTGTGAGATGAACGCTAACCTCACAAAGAAGATTCTCAGAATTCTTCTGTCTATTTTTCATGTGAAGATATTTCCTTTTCCACCATAGGCCACAAAGTGCTCCAAATGTCCACTTACACATACTACAAAAAGAGAGTTTCAAAACTGCTCAATCAAAAGAAAGTTTTTACTCTGTGAGATGAACACACACATCACAAAGAAGTTTCTCAGAGTGCTTCTGTCTAGTTATTATATAAAGATATTTCGTTATCCACCATAGGCCTCAAAGTGCTCAAATGTCCACAGGCAGATTCTCCAAAAAGAGTGTTTCAAAACTGCTCAATCAAAAGAAAGGTTCATCTCTGTGAGATGAACGGACACATAACAAAGCAGTTTCTCAGAATTCTTCTGTCTAGTTTTTATGTGAAGTTATTTCCTTTTCCACCATAGGCCTCAAATTGCTCCAAATGTCCACTTGCAGATTCTACAAAGGAATAGTTTCAAAACTGCTCAATCAAAAGAAAGGTTTAACTCTGTGAGATGAATTCAGACAACACAAAGAAGTTTCTGAGAATCCTTCTGTCTATTTTTTATTAGAAGAAATTTTGTTTTCAGCTGTAGGCCTCAAAGGGCTCCTAATATCCTTTTCCAGGTACTGCAAAAAGAGTGGTTCCAAACTGCTCAATAAAAAGAAAGGTTCAAATCTGTGACAGGAATGTACACATCACAAAGAAGTGTCTGAGAATGCTTCTGTCTAGTTTTTATGTGAAGATATTTCCTTTTCCACCAGACGCCTCAAAGCACTCCAAATATCCGCTTGTAAATTTTACAAAAAGAGTGTTTCAAAACTGCTCAATCAAAAGAAAGGTTCAACTCTCTGAGATGAATGCACACATCACAAAGAAGTTTCTGAGAATACTTCTGTCTAGTTTTTATGTGAAGATATTTCCTTCTCTGCTATAGACCTCAAAGCGCTGCAAATATCCATTTGCAGATACTACAGAAAGAGTGTTTCCAAACTGCTCAAAAAAAGAAAGGTTCAAATCTGTGAGGTGAATGTACATATCAAAAGAAGTTTCTGAGGATGTTTCTGTCTAGTTTACATGTGAAGATATTTCCTTTCAGATGTAGGCCTCTAAGCACTGCAAATATTCACTTGCGAATTCTACAAAAAGAGTGTTTCAAAACTGCTCAATCAAAAGAAAGGTTCAACTCTCTGAGATGAATGTAGATATCACAAATAAGTTTCTGAGAATACTTCTGTCTAGTTTCTATGTGAAGATATTTCCTTTTCAGCTACAGGCCTCAAAGCCCTGCAAATATCCATTTGCAGATACTACAAAAAGAGTGTTTCCAAACTGCTCAATCAAAAGGAAGGCTCAATTCTGAGTTGAATGCACACATCCCTAAGAAGTTTCTCAGAATGCTTCTGTGTAGTTTTCATCTGAAGTTATTTCCTTTTCTACCACAGGCCCCAAAGCTCTCCAAATAACCAATTGGAGATTCTCCAAAAAGTTTGTTTCAAAACTGCTTAATCAAAAGAAAATTTTAATTCTGTGAGATGATTGCACACATCACAAAGAAGTTTCTCAGAATGCTTCTGTCTACTTTTTATGTGAAGATATTTCCATTTTATCTATTGGCCTCAAAGTGCTCCAAATATCCAATTGCAGATACTACAAAGCGAGTATTTCCAAACTGCTCAATTAAAAGAAAATTTCAACTCTGTGAGTTGAATGCACACATCACAAAGAAGTTTCTGAGAATACTTCCGTCTAGTCTTTATGTGAAGATATTTCCTTTTAAGCTATAGACGTCAAAGGGCTCCAAATATCCATTTGCAGATACTAGAAAATGAGTCTTCCCAAACAGCTCAATCAAAAGAAAGGTTCAACTCCATGAGTTGAATGCACACATCACAAAGAAGTTTCCAGAATGCTTCTGCCTAATTTTTATGTGAAGAGGTTTCCTTTGTCACTATTGGCCTCAAAGCGCTCCAAATATCCACTTGCAGATTCTACAAAAAAAGATTTTCAAAACTGCTCAATCAAAAGAAAGTTTCAACTCTGGGAGATGAATGCACACATCACAAAGAAGTTTCTCAGAATCCTTCTGTCTAATTTTTATGTGGAGATATTTCCATTTCAGCTATAGACATCAAAGTGCTCCAAATATCCATTTGTGGATACTGCAAGAAGAGTGTTTCCAAACTGCTCAATCTTAAGAAATCTTCAACTATGTGAGTTGAATGCACACATCACACAGAAGTTTCTGACAATGCTTCTGTCAAGTTTTTATGTGAAGATATTTCATTTTCTACCATTGGCCACAAAGTGCTCCAAATATCCTCTTGCAGATTCTTCAAAAAGATTGTTTCAAAACTGCTCAATCAAAAGAAAGTTTCAACTCTCTGAGATGAATGCACACATCACAAAGAAGTTTTGGAGAATAATTCTGTCTAGTTTTTATTTGAAGATATTTCCTTTTCTGCTACAGGCCTCAAAGAGCTGCAAATATCCATTTGCAGATACTACAGAAAGAGTGTTTCCAAACTGCTCAATCAAAAGAAAGGTTCAACTCTATGAGCTGAATGCACACATCACAAAGAAGTTTCTGAGAATGCTTCTGTCTAGTTATGTGAATATATTTCCGTTTCCACCATAGGCCTCACAGCGCTGCAAATGTCCACTTGCAGATTGTACAAAAAGAGAGTTTCAAAACTACCCAATCAAAATAAAGGTTTAACTCAGTGAGATGAATGCACGCATAACAAAGCAGTTTCTCAGATTGCTTCTGTCTAGATTTCATGTGAAGATATTTCCTTTTCTACCATAGGCTGCAAAGCGCTCCAAATGTCCACTTGCAGATTCTACAAAAAGTGTGTCTCCAAACTGCTCAATCAAAAGAGAGTTTCAACTCTGTGAGAAAAACTCACACATCACAAAGAAGTTTCTGAGAATGCTTCTGTCTAGTTTTTGTGTGAATATATTTCCGTTTCCACCGTAGGCCTCACAGCACTGCAAATGTCCACTTGCAGATTCTACAAAATCTATTTCAAAACTGGTCCATCAAAAGAAAGTTTCAAATCTGGGTGATGAATGCACACATCACAAAGAATTTTCTCAGAATGCTTCCATCTAATTTTTATGTGAAGATATTTCCTTTTCCACCATAGGCCTCAAAACGCCCAAAATGTCCACTTGCAGATTCTACAAAAAGAGAGTTTCAAAACTCCTCAGTCAAAAGAAAGTTTTAATTCCGTGAGATGAATGCACACATCACTAAGGAGTTTCTCGGATTGCTTCTGTCTAGATTTTATGTGAACATATTTCCAATTTAAACATAGACCAAGTAGAGCTCCAAATATCCACTTTCATATTATACAAAAAGAGTGTTTCCAAACTGCTAAATCAAAAGACATTTTCAACTCTATGGGATGAACACACACATCAAAAAGAAGGTTCTCAGCATGCTTCTACCTAGTTTTTATGTGAAGATATTTCCCTTTGTACAATCTTCCACAAAGCGCTCCAAATGTCCACATGTAGATTCTACAAGAAGAGTGTTTCCAAACTGCACAATCCAAGGAAATATTCACCTCTGTGAGATGAACGCACACATCAAGAAGTAGTTTCTCAGAATTCTTCTGTCTAGTTTTTGTGTGAAGTTATTCCTTATCCACCATACTCCTCAAAGCACTCCAAATGTCCAATTGCAGATTCTACAAAATGTGAGCTTCAATATTGCTCAATCAAAAGAAAGGTTTAACTCAATGAGAGGAATGCACACACCACAAAGAAATTTCTCAGATTGCTTCTGTCTAGATTTTATGTGAAGATAGTTCCTTTTCTACCACAGGCCGTGAAGCTCTCCAAATGTCAACTTGCTGATTCTACAAAAAGAGTGTTTCCAAACTTCTCAATCAAAAGGAATGTTGAACTCTGTGAGAGGAAAGCACACATCACAAAGAAATTTCTCAGAATTCTTCTGTCTAGTTTTTATGAGAAGATATTTCCTTTTCCACCACAGGCCTCAAAGCCCTCCAAATATCCACTTGCAGATTCTACAAAAAGAGAGTTTCAAAACTGCTCAATTAATAGAAAGGTTTAACTCTGTGAGATGATTGCACACATCACAAAGAAGTTTCTCAGATTGCTTCTGTCTAGATTTTATGTGAAGGTATTTCGTTTTCTACCATAAGCCACAAAGCACTCCAAATGTCTACTTGCATTTTCTTCAAAAAGAGTGTTTCCAAACAAAAGTTCAACTCGATGAGATGAACGTACACCTCACAAAGAAGTTTCTCAGAATTCTTCTGTCTAATGTTTATGTGAAGATATTTCCTTTTCCACCATAGGCCTCAAATCAGTCAAAATGTCCACTTGCAGATTATACAAAAAGAGAATTTCAAAACTGCTCAATCTAAAGAAAGGTTTATCTCTGTGAGATGAATGCACACATCACAAAGAAGTTTCTCAGATTGCTTCTGTCTAGATTTTATGTGAAGATATTTCCTTTGCCGCCATAGGCCACAAAGAGCTCCAAATGTCCACTTGCAGATTCTACAAAAACAGTGCTTCCAAACTGTTCAATCAAAAGAAAGTTTCAACTCTGTGAGATGAATGCACACATAACAAAGTAGTTTCTCGAATTATTCTGTCTAGTTTTTATGCGAAGACGTTTCCTTTTCCACCTTAGGCCTTAAAGCACTCCAAATGTCCACTTGCATATTCTACAAAAAGAGAGTTCAAAACTGCTCAATCAAGAGAAAGGTTTAACTCTGTGAGATGAATGTACCCAGCACAAAGAAGTTTCTCAGATTCCTTCTTACTAGATTTTAGTTGAAGATTTTGCCTTTTCTACCATAGACTCCAGAGCGCTCCAAATGTCCACTAGCAGATTCTACAAAAAGAGTGTTTCCAAACTGCTCAATCAAAAGAGAGGTTCAACTCGGTGAGATGAACGCACACATCACAAAGAAGTTTCTCAGAATGCTTCCGTCTAGTATGTATGTGAAGATATTACCTTTTCTACCATTGGCAGCAAAGTGTGCCAAATGTCCCCTTGCAGATACTGCAAAAAGAGTGTTTCCAAACTATTCAAATAAAAGAGAGTTTCAACTATGTGAGATGAATGCACACATCAAAAAGAAGTTTCTCCGAATGCTTCTGTGTAGTTTTTATGTGAAGATATTTGCTTTTCCACAGTAGGCCTCAAAGCTCTCCAAATTTCCACTTGCAGATTCTCCAAAAAGAGAGATTAAAAACTGCTCATTCAAAGCATGGGTTCAACACTGTGAGTTGAATGCACACATAACAAAGAAGTTTCTCAGAATCCTTCTGTGTAGTTTTTATGTGAAGATATTTCCTTTTCCAAAAGAGGACTCAAAGCCCTCCAAACATCCACTTCCAGATTCTTCAAAAAGTGTTTCAAAACTGCTCAATCAAAAGAAAGGATCAACTCTGTGAGATGAGTGCCCATATCACAAACAACTTTCTCAGAATGCTTCTGTGTAGTTTTATGTGAAGATATTTCCTTTTCCACAAACGGCTTCAAAGCCCTCCAAATATACACTTGCAGATTCTATAAAAAGAGTGTTTCCAAACTGCTCAATCATAAGAGGTTCTATCCAGTGTGATGAATGCACACATCACAAAGAAGTTTCTCAGAATGCTTTTCTGTAGTTTTTATTTGAAGATATTTCCTTTTCCTCCATAGGCCACAAAGGGCTCCAAATATCCACTTGCAGATACTACAAAAAGAGAGATTCAAAACAGCCCAATCAAAAGATAGGTTCCACTATCTGAGTTGAATGCACACATCACAAAGAAGCTTCTCAGAATTCTTCTGTGTGGTTTTTGTGTGAAGATATTTCATTTTCCACAGTAGGCCTCAAAGCTCTACTAATACCCACTTGCAGATTCTGCCAAAAGGGAGATTCAAAACTGCTCAATCAAAAGATAGGTTCGACTCTGTGAGTTGAATGCACCTCTCACATCGAAGTTTCTCAGAATGCTTCTGTGTAGTTTTCATGTGAATATATTTGCTTTTCCACAGTAGGCCTCAAAGCGCTCCAAATATCCACTTGCAGATTTTACAGAAACAGTGTTTCAAAACTGTTCAATCAAAAGAAAAGATCAACTCTGTGAGATGATTGCACACATCACAAAGAAGTTTCTCAGAATGCTTCCATGTAGTTTTTATGTGAAGATATTTCCTTTTCCACAATAGGCCTCAAGGCACTCCAAACATCCACTTGCAGATTCTACAAAAAGAGTGTTACAAAACTGCTCAATCATAAGATACGTTCAACGCTGTGAGATGAATGCAAATATCACAAAGAAGTTTCTCAGAATGCTTCTGTTTAGTTTTTATTTGAAGATATTTCTTTTTCCACCATAGGCTGCATAGGGCTCAAAATATCCACTTGCAGTTTCTTCAAAAAGAGAGATTCAAAACTGCTCAATCAAAAGATAGGTTGGACTCTGTGAGTTGAATGCACACATCACAGAGAAGTTCCTCAGAATGCTTCTGTGTAGTTTTTATGTGAAGATATTTGCTTTTCCACAGTAGGCCTCAAAGCGCTCCAAATGTCCACTTTCAGATTGTCCAAAAACAGAGACTCCAAACTGCTCAACCAAAACATACCTTCAGTTCTGTGAGTTTAATGCACACATAACAAAGAAGTATCTCAGAATATTTCTGTGTAGTTTTTAGGTGATGATATTTCTTTTCCAAAATAGGCCTCAAAGTCCTCCAAATATCCACTTCTGGGTTCTATCAATAGAGTGCTACATATGTAACTAACATGCACATTGTGCACATGTACCCTAAAACTTAAAGTATAATAATAAAAAAATAAAAAAAAATAAAAAAATAATAAAAAATGAAATAAAAAAGGAAAAAGAGTGCTTCAAGCCTGCTCAATCAAAAGAAAGGATCAACTATGTGAGGTGAATGCACACATCAAAAAGAAGTTTCTCTGAATTCTTCTGAGTAGTTTTTATGTGAAGATATTTCCTTTTCCACATTAGGACTCAAAGCACTCCAAATAACCACTTGCAGATTCTACAAAAAGAATGTTTCCAGTCTGCTCAATCATAAGAAATGTTCAACTCTGTGAGATGAATGTGCACATCATGAAGTAGTTTCTCAAAATGCTTCTGTGTATTATTTATGTGAAGATATTTTCTTTTCCACAGTAGGCCTCAAAGTGCTCCAAATATCCACCTGTAGATTCTTCAAAAACAGTGTTTCAAAAGTGCTCAATAAAAAAAAGGTTCAACTCTGTGAGATGAATGCACACATCACAAAGTAGTTTCTCAGCATGTTTCTGTATAGTTTTTATGTGAAGATATTACCTTTTCCACAATAGACCTCAAGGCACTCCAAATATCCACCTGCAGATTCTACAAAAAAAGTGTTTCAAAACTACTCAATCATAAGATAGGTTCAACGCTGTGAGTTGAGTGCACATATCCCAAAGAAGTTTCTCAGAATGCTTCTGTCTAGTTTTTATGTGAAGACATTTCCTTTTCAGCTATAGGCCTCAAAGTGCTCCAAATGTCCACTTGCAGAATCTACAGCAAGAGAGATTCAAACTGCTCAATCAAAGCATAGGTTCAATTCTGTGAGTTGAATGCACACATCATGAAGAAATTTCTGAGAATGCTTCTGTGTAGGTTTTATTTGAAGATATTCCCTTTTCCACCACAGGGAGCAAAGAGCTCCAAATATCCACTTGCAGATTCTACAAAAAGAGAGATACTAAACTGCTCAATCAAAAGATAGGTTCAACCCTGAAAGTTGAATATACAAATCATAAAGAAGTTTCTCAGAATGCTTCTGTGTAGTTTTTATGTAAAGATAATTCCTTCTCCACAATAGGCCTCAAAGGACTCCAAATATCCACTTGAAGATTCAACAAAAAGTATTTCAAAACTGTTCAATCAAAAGAAATGTTCAATTCCGTGAGTTGAATACACACCACACAAAATTTTTTCAGAATTCTTCTGTGTAGTTTTTATGTGAAGATATTTCCTTTTCCACAATAGGTGTAAAAGCACTCCTAACATCCACTTGCAGATTCTGCAAAAAGAGAGATTCCAAACTGCTCAATCAGAAGATAGGTTCAACTCTGTGAGTTGAATGCACACATCAAAAAGAAGTTTCTCAGAATGCTTCTGTGTAGTTTTTATGTGAACATATTTTGCACAGTAGGCCTCACAGCACCTTAAATATCCACTTGCAGATTCTACAAAAAGAGAGATTCAAAACTGTACAATAAAAAGATAGGTTCAACTCTGTGAGTTGACTGCACACATAACAAAGAAGTTTCTCAGAATGCTTCTGAGTAGTTTTTAATTGAAGGTATTTTCTTTTCCACAATAGACCTCAAATGGCTCCAATTATCCACTTGCAGATTGTACAAAAAAAGTGTTTCAAAACTGTTCAATCAAAAGAAAGATTCAACTCTGTGAATTGAATGCACACATGACAAAGAAGTTTCTCAGAATGTTTCTGTGTAGTTTTTATGTGAAGATATTTCCTTTTCCACAAAAGGCCTCAAAAGGCTCCAAATATCCACTTGCAGATTGTACGAAAAGTGTTTCAAAACTGCTCATCAAAAGAAAGGTTCAACTCTGTGAGATGAATGCACACATCACAACGAAGTTTCTCAGAATGCTTCTGTGTAGTATTTATCTGAAGTTATTGGCTTTTCCACGGTAGGCCTCAAAGTGCTCCAAATATCCACATGTAGATTCTAGAAAAAGAGTGTTTCGAAACTGCTCAACCGTAAGATAGGTTCAACCCTGTGAGATGAATGCATACATCACAAAGAAGTTTCTCAGAATGTTTCTGTGTAGTTTTTATTTGAAAATATTTCCTTTTCGACCACAAGCCACAAAGGGCTCCAAATATCCACTTGCACATTCTGCAAAAAGAGAGATTGAAAACTGCTCAATCAAAAGATAGGTTCACCTCTGTGAGTTGAATGCACATATCTCAAAGAAGTTTCTCAGAATGCTTCCGTGTAGTTTTTATTTGAAGATATTTCCATTTCCACCATAGGGTGCAATGAGCTCCAAATAACCACTAGCAGATTCTACAAAAAGAGAGATTCAAAACTGCTCAATCAAAAGATAGGTTCAACTCTGTGAGGTGAATGCACACATCATGAAGAAGTTTCTGAGAATGCTTCTGTGTAGTTTTTATTTGAAGATATTTCCTTTTCCACTACAGGGCACAAACGGCTCCAAATACCTACTTGCAGATTCTACAAACAGAGAGATTCTAAACTGCTCAATCAAAAGATAGGTTCAACTCTGTGAGTTGAATGCACACATCACAAAGAAGTTTCTCAGCATGCTTCTGAGTAGTTTTTATGTGAAGATATTTCCTTTTCCACAATAGGCCTCAAAGGGCTCCAATTATCCACTTGCAGATTGTACAAAAAGAGTGTTTCAAAACTGTTCAATCAAAAGAAAGATTCAACTCTGTGAATTGAATGCACACATCAAAAAGAAGTTTCTCAGAATGCTTCTGTGTAGTTTTTATATGAAGATATTTCCTTTTCCACAATAGGCCTCAAGGCACGCCAAATATCCACCTGCAGATTCTACAAAAAGAGTGTCAAAACTGCTCAATCGTAAGATAGGTTTGACGCTGTGAGTTCAATGCACACATCATGGAGAAGTTTCTCAGAATGCATCTGTGTAGTTTTAATTGGAAGATATTTCCTTTCCACCATAGGCCACAAAGGGCTCCAAATATCCACTTGCAGATTCTACAAAAAGAGAGATTCAAAACTGCTCAATCATGAGAGGCTGGACACTGTGAGTTGAATGCACACATCACAAAGAAGTTTCTCAGAATGCTTCTGAGTACTATTTATGTGAAGATATTTCCTTTTCCACAATAGGCATCAAAGTGCTCCAAATGTCCACTTGGAGATTCTCTAAAAAGAGAGATTCAAAACTGCTCAATCAAAGTATAGATTCAACTCTGTGAGTTGAATGCACACATCAAAAAGAAGTTCCTCAGAATGCTTCTTTGTAGTTTTTATGTGAAAATATTTGCTTTTCCACAGTAGGCCTCAAAGAGCTCTAAATGCCCACTTGCAGATTCTCCAAAAAGAGAGATTCAAAACTGCTGAATCAAAGCATAGGTTCAACTCTGTGAGTTGAATGCACACATCATGAAGAAGTTTCTGATAATTCTTCTGTGTAGTTTTTATTTGAAGATATTTCCTTTTCCACCATAGACCGCAAAGGGCTCCTAATATGCACTTGCAGATTCTGCAAAGAGACAGATTCAAAACTGCCTAATCAAAATATAGTTTCAACTCTGTGAGATGAACGCACACATCCCCAAGAAGTTTCACACAATGCTACTGTGTAGTTTTTATTTGAAGATATTTGCTTTTCCACAGTAGCCATCAAAGAGCTCCAAATATCCACCTGCAGATTCTGCAAAAAGAGAGATTCAAAACTGCTCAATCAAAAGATAGGTTCAACTCTGTAAGTTCTATGCATACATCACAAAGAAGTTTCTCTGAATGCTTCTGTGTAGTTTTTATTTGAAAATATTTGCTTTTCCACAGTAGGCCTCAAAGGGCTCCAAATAACCAGATGCAGATTCTACAAAAAGAGAGATTCAAAACTGCTCATTGAAAATATATGTTCAACTCTGTGAGTTGAATGCATACATCACAAAGGAGTTTCTCTCAATGCTTCTGTGTAGTTTTTATTTGAAGATAATTTCTTTTCCACCACAGGGTGCAAAGGGCTCCAAATATCCACTTACAGAATCTACACAAAGAGAGATGGAATACTGCTAACTGACAAGATAAGTTCAACTCTATGAATTGAATGCACACCTCTCAAAGAAGTTTCTCAAAGTGCTTCTGTGTAGTTTTTATGTGAAGATATTTCCTTTTCCACAAGAGGCATAAAAGCTCTCCAAACATCCAATTGCAGATTCTGCAAAAAGAGAGATTCAAATCTGCTCTATCAAAAGATAGGTTCAACTCTGTGAGTTGAATCCACACATCACAAAGACGTTTCTGAGAACGCTGTGTAGTTTTTCTGTGAACACATTTGATTTTACCCAGTAGGCCTCACAGCGCTACAAATATCCACTTGCAGATTCTAGAAAAAGAGATTCTAAACTGCTCAATCAAAAGATAGGTTCAACTCTGTGAGGTGAATGCACACATCACAAAGAAGTTTCTCAGAATGCTTCTCAGTAGTTTTTATTTGAAGATATTTCCTTTTACACCAAAGGCGGCAAAGGGCTCCAAATATCCACTTGCAGATTCTGCAAAAAGAGTGTTTCAAAACTGCTCAATCATAAGATAGGTTCAACCCTGTGAGATGAAGGCACACATCACCAAGAAGCTTCTCAGAATGTTTCTATGTAGTTTTTATTTGAAGATATTTCCTTTTCCACCAATGGGCGCAAAGGGCTCCAAATATCAACTTGCAGATTCTAAAAATGATGAGTTTCAAAACTGCTCAATGAGAAGATAACTTCAGATCTGTGAGTTGAATGCACACCTCATGAAGACGTTTCTCAGAATGCTTCTCTGTAGTTTTCATGTGAAGATATTTACTTTTCCACTCTAGGCCTCAAAGCTCTCCCAACATCCATTTGCAGATTCTGCAAAAAGAGAGATTCCAAACTGCTTAAACGAAACATAGGTTCAACTCTATGAGTTAAATGCACACATCACAACGAAGTTTCACAGAATGATTCTTTGTAGGTTTTATGTGAACGTATTTGGTTTTCCACAGTAGGCCTCACATCACTCCAAATATCCACTTGCAGTTTCCACAAGAGAGATTCAAAACTGCTCAATCAAAAGATAGGTTCAACAGTGTGTGTTGAATGCAGACATCACGAAGAAGTTTCTGAGAATGCTTCTGTGTAGTTTTTATTTGAAGATATTTCCTTTTCCACTACAGGGCGCAAAGGGTTCCAAATAGCCAATTGCAGATACTACAAAAACAGAGATTCAAAAGTGCTCTTTTAGAAGCTAAATTCAACTCAGTGAGTTGAATGCACAGCTCACAAAGAAGCTTCTCAGAATGCTTCTCTGTGGTTTTCATGTAGAGATATTTCCATTTCCACAATAGGCCTCATAGCTCTCCAAACATCCACTTGCAGATTCTGCAAAAAGAGAGATTAAAAACTGATCTCTCAAAAGACAGTTTCAACTCTGTGAGTTGAAAGCACACACAACCAAGAAGTTTCTGAGAATGCTTCTGGGTAGTTTTTATTTGAAGATATTTCTTTTTTCACCAGAGGGTGCAAAGGGGTAAAAATACCAAATGCAGATTCTACACAAAAAGAGATTCTAAACTGCTTAATCAAAAGATAGGTTCAAATCAGTGAGTTGAATGCACACATCACAAAGAAGTTTCTCAGAATGTTTCTGAGTAGTTTTTATGTGAAGATATTTCCCTTCCACAATAGGACTCAAAGGGCTCCAAATATACACTTGCACAATCTACAAAAAAAGAGTTTTTCACTGCTCAATCAAAAGATAGGTTTAACTCTGTGAGTTGAATGCACACATCACAAGAAGTTTCTCAGAATGCCTCTGTGTAGCTTTTATGTGAAGATATTTCCTTTTCCACAACAGGCCTCAAAAGGCTCCAAATATCCACTTGCAGATTCTTCAAAAAGAGTGTTTCAAAACTGCTCAATCAAAAGAAAGGTTCAACTCTGTGAGACGAATACGCGCATCACAAAGAAGTTTCCAAGAATGCTTCTGTGTAGTTTTTACCTGAATATATTTGCTTTTCCACGGTTGGCCTCAAAGCGCTCCAAATACCTTCTTGCAGATTCTACAGGAAGTAAGATTCAAAACTGCTCAATGAGAAGATAAGTTCATCTCTGTGAGTTGAACGCACACCTCCCAAAGAAGTTTCTCAGAATGCTTCTCTGTAGTTTTTCTGTGAAGATATTCCATTTTCCACAATAGGCCTCAAAGCTCTCTGAACGTCCACTTGCAGAATCTGTAAAAGGAGAGATTCAAAACTGCTCATTCAAAAGATAGGTTCCACTCTGTGAGTTGATTGGACATATCACAATGAAGTTTCTCAGAATGCTTCTGTGTAGTTTTTATGTGAAGATATTTGCTGTCCCACAGCTGGCCTCAAAAGGCACCAAATAGCCACCTGCAGATTCTGCAAAAAAAGACATTCAAGACTGCTCAATCAAGAGTTAGGTTCAACTCCGTGAGGTGAATGCATACATCATAAAGGAGTTTCTCTGAATGCTTCTGTGTAGTTTTTATTTGAAGATGTTTCCTTTTCCACCATAGGGGGTAAAGGGCAACAAATATACACCTGCAGATACTACAAAAAGTGTATTTCAAATGGGCTCAATCAAAAGAAAGGTTCACGTCTGTGATATGAATGCACACATCAAAAAGAAGATTCTCAGAATGCTTCTGTGTAGTTTTCGTATGAAGCTATTTGATTATACACAGTAGGCGTCATAGCTCTCCACATATCCACTGTCAGATTGTACAAAAAGAGAGATTCAAAACTGCTCCATCAAAATATATGTTCAACTCTGTGAGTTGAATGCACATATCATGAAGAAATTTCTGAGAATGATTATGTGTACTTTTTACGTGAAGATATTTCCTTTTCAACCCTAGGATGCAAAGAGCTCCAAATATCCACTTGCAGATTCTACAAAAAGAGAGATTCTGAACTGCTCCATCAAAAGATATGTTTAACTCTGTGAGTTGAATACACACATCACAGAGAAGCTTCTCAGAATGATTCTGACTAGTTTTTTTTTTCTTTTTTCTTTTTATACTTTAAGTTTTAGGGTACATTTGCACATTGTGCAGGTTAGATACATATGTATACATGTGCCATGCTGATGCGCTGCACCCACCAACTCGTCATCTAGCATTAGATATATCTCCCAATGCTATCCCTCACCCCTCCCCCCACCCCACAACAGTCCCCAGAGTGTGAAGTTCCCCTTCCTGTGTCCATGTGATTTCATTGTTCAATTCCCAACTATGAGAGAGAATATGTGGTGTTTGGTTTTTTGTTCTTGCAATAGTTTACTGAGAATGATGATTTCCAATTTCATCCATGTCCCTACAAAGGACATGAACTCACCCTTTTTTATGGCTGCATAGTATTCCATGGTGTATATGTGCCACATTTTCTTAATCCAATCTATCATTGTTGGACATTTGGGTTGGTTCCAAGTCTTTGCTATTGTGAATAATGCTGCAATAAACATACGTGTGCATATGTCTTTATAGCAGCATGATTTATAGTCCTTTGGGTATATACCCAGTAATAGGATGGCTGGGTCAAATGGTACTTCCAGTTCTAGATCCCTGAGGAATCGCCACACTGACTTCCACAATGGTTGAACTAGTTTACAGTCCCACCAACAGTGTAAAAGTGTTCCTATTTCTCCACATCCTCTCCAGCACCTGTTGTTTCCTGACTTTTTAACGATTGCCATTCTATCTGGTGTGAGATGGTATCTGATTGTGGTTTTGATTTGCATTTCTCTGATGGCCAGTGGTGATGAGCATTTTTTCATGTGTTTTTTGGCTGCATAAATGTCTTCTTTTGAAAAGTGTCTGTTCATGTCCTTTGCCCACTTTTTGATGGGGTTGTTTATTTTTTTCTTGTAAATTTGTTTGAGTTCATTGTAGATTCTGGATATTAGCCCTTTGTCAGATGAGTAGGTTGCGAAAATTTTCTCCCATTTTGTAGGTTGCATGTTCACTCTGATGATAGTGTCTTTGGCTGTGCACAAGCTCTTCAGTTTAATTAGATCCCATTTGTCAATTTTGTCTTTTGTTGCCATTGCTTTTGGTGTTTTAGACATGAAGTCCTTGCCCATGCCTGTGTCCTGAATGGTAATGTCAAGGTTTTCTTCTAGGGTTTTTATGGTTTTAGGTCTAGCGTTTAAGTCTTTAATCCATCTTGAATTGATTTTGGTATAAGGTGTAAGGAAGGGATCCAGTTTCAGCTTTCAAAAAAAGAGAATTTTAGACCAATAACCTTGATGAACATTGATGCAAAAATCCTCAATAAAATACTGGCAAAAAGAATCCAGCAGCACATCGAAAAGCTTATCCACCATGATCAAGTGGGCTTCATCCCTGGGATGCAAGGCTGGTTCAATATATGCAAATCAATAAATGTAATCCAGCATATAAACAGAACCAAAGACAAAAACCACATGATTATCTCAATAGATGCAGAAAAGCCCTTTGACAAAATTCAACAACCCTTCATGCTAAAAACTCTCAATAAATTAGGTATTGATGGGACGTATTTCAAAATAATTAAGAGTTATCTATGACAAACCCACCGCCAATATCGTACTGAATGGGCAAAAACTGGAAGCATTTCCTTTGAAACTGGCACAAGACAGGGATGTCCTCTCTCACCACTCCTATTCAACATAGTGTTGGAAGTTCTGGCCAGGGCAATTAGGCAGGAGAAGGAAATAAAGGGTATTCCATTAGGAAAAGAGGAAGTCAAATTGTCCCTGTTTGCAGACAACATGATTGTATATCTAGAAAACCCCATTGTCTCAGCCCAAAATCTCCTTAAGCCGATAAGCAACTTCAGCAAAGTCTCAGGATACAAAATCAATGTACAAAAATCACAAGCATTCTTATACACCAACAACAGACAAACAGAGAGCCAAATCATGAGTGAACTCCCATTCACAATTGCTTCAAAGAGAATAAAATACCTAGGAATCCAACTTACAAGGGATGTGAAGGACCTCTTCAAGGAGAACTACAAACAACTACTCAAGGAAATAAAAGAGGATACAAACAAATGGAAGAACATTCCACGCTCATGGGTAGGAAGAATCAATATCGTGAAAATGGCCATACTGCCCAAGGTAATTTGCAGATTCAGTGCCATCCCCATCAAGCTACCAATGCCTTTCTTCACAGAATTGGAAAAGCTACTTTAAAGTTCATATGGAACCAAAAAAGAGCCCGCATCACCAAGTCAATCCTAAGCCAAAAGAACAAAGCTGGAGGCATCACACTACCTGACTTCAAACTATACTACAAGGTTCCAGTAACCAAAACAGCATGGTACTGGTACCAAAACAGAGATATAGATCAACGGAACAGAACAGAGCCCTCAGAAATAACGCCGCATATCTACAACTATCTGATCTTTGACAAACCTGAGAAAAACAAGCAATGGGGAAAGGATTCCCTCTTTAATAAATGGTGCTGGGAAAACTGACTAGCCATATGTAGAAAGCTGTCTAGTTTTTATGTGAAGATAATCCCATTTCCAAGGAAGGCTTCAAAGCGCTCTAAATATGCGCCTCCAGATTCTACAAAAAGACTGTTTCAAAACTGCTCTATCAAAAAGATGGTTCAACTCTGTGAGTTGAATGCACACATCACAAATAATTTTCTGAGAATGGCTCCGTCTATTTTTTATGTGAAGGTATTTGCGTTTCCAACGAAGACTTCAAAGCGCTCCAAAGATGTAAATGCAGATTCTACAAAAAGAGTGTTTCAAAACTTCTCTATCTGAAGGAAGGTTCAGTTCTGTGAGTTGAATGCACACATCACAAAGGACTTTCTGACAATGCTTCCATCTAGTTTTTAGGTGAAGATATTCCTATTTCAAACGAAGGCTTCTATTCGCTACAAATATCTACATGCACATTCTACAAAAAGAGTGTTTCCAAACTGCTCTATCAAAAGGAAGGTTCAACTGTGTGAGTTGAATGCACACATCACAAAGTGGTTTCTGAGAATGCTTCTTTCTAGTATTTATATGAAGCTATTCCCGTTTCCAACGAAGGATTCAAAGAGCTCCAAATATCCTCCTGCAGACTTAATAAAAAAGGGCTTCCAAACTGCTCTATCAAAAGTAAAGTTCAACTATGTGAGTTGAATGAACACAACACAAAGAAGTTTCTGAGAATGCTTCCGTCTAGTTTTTATGTGAAGATATTTCCTTTTCCACCATAGCCTTCAAAGCGCTCCAAAAGTCCATTTGCAGATTCGACAAAAAGAGTGTTTCCAGACTGCTCTATCAAAAGAAAGGTTCAACTATGGGAGTAGAATGCACACATCACAAAGTCGCTTCTGAGAATGCTTCTGTCTAGTTTTTATCTGAAGATATTTCCTTTTCTACCACAGGCCTCAATGCACTCAAAATACCCACTTTTAGATTCTACAAACAGAGTGTTTCAAAACTGTTCTATCAAAAGGAACGTTCAAATCTGTGAGTTGAATGCAAGCATCACAAAGAAGTTTCTGAGAATGCTTCTGTCTAGTTTTTATGTGAAGATATTCCCATTTCCAATGAAGGCTTCAAAGAGCTCAAAATATCCTATTGCAGATTGTACAAAAAGAGTGTTTCAAAACTGCTCTATCAAAAGGAAGGTTCAATTCTGTAAGTTGAATGCACACATCACAAATAAGTTTGTGAGAATGCTTCTGTCTAGTTTTTATGTGAAGATATTCCCGTTTCCAACAAAGGCTTCAAAGCGCTCCAAATATCCACCTGCTGATGCTACAAAAAGAGTGTTTCAAAACTGTTCTATAAAAAGAAAAGTTCAGCTCTGTGGTTTCAATGCACACAACAGAAAGAAGTTTCTGAGAATGCTTCCGTCTAGTTTTTAAGTGAAGATATTCCAGTTTTCAATGAAAGCTTCAAAGTGCTCCAAATATCCACTTGCAGATTCTACAAAAAGAGTGTTTCAAAACTGCTCTATCGAAAGTAAAGTTCTACTTTGTGAGTTGAATGCACACATCAAAATGAATTTTATGAGAATACTTCTGTCTAGTTTTTATGTGAAGATATTTCCTTTTCGACAATAGCTGTCAAAGCCCTCCAAATGCACACTTGAAGATTCTTCACAAAGACTGTTTCCAATCTGCTCTATCAGAAGAAAGTTTCAACTGTGAGAGTAGAATGGACACATCACAAAGTAGTTTCTGTGAATGCTTCTGTCTAGTTTTTGTATGAAGATACAAATCTGTGAGTTGAATGCACACATCACAAAGAAGTTTCTGAGAATGCTTCTGTCTAGTTTTAATGTGAAGATATTTCCTTTTCCACTACAAGCCTAAAAGAGCTCCAAATGTCCAACTGCAGATTCTATAAAAAGAGTGTTTCAAAACTGCACTATCAAAAGAAAGGTTCAGTTCTGTAAGTTGAAAGCACACATCACAAAGAAATTTCTGAGAATGTTTCTGTGTAATTTTTATGTGAAGATATTCCCGTTTCCAACGAAGGTTTCAAAGCGCTCCAAATATACACCTGCAGATTCTACAAAAAGAGTGTTTCAAAACTGCTCTATCAAAAGGAAACTTCAACACTTTGAGTTGAATGCACTCATCACAAAGAAGTTTCTCAGAATGCTTCTGCCAAGTTTTAATATGAAGGTATATCCTTTTCCACAGAAGGCCCCAAAGAGCTCCAAGTGTTCACCTGCAGATTCTAAAAAAAGAGTGTTTCAAAACTGCTCTATCAAAAAGAAGGTTGAAATCTGTGAGTTGAATGCACACATCACAAAGAAGTTTCTGAGAATGTTTCTGTGTAGTTTTTATGTGAAGATATTCATGTTTCCAACGGAGGCTTCAAAGTGCTCCAAATGTCCACATGCAGATTCTACAAAAAGAGTGTTTCTAAACTGCTCTTTTAAAAGAAAGGTTCAACTCTGGGAGTAGAATGCAGTCATCACAAAGTGGTTTCTGAGAATGCTTCAGTGTAGATTTTATATGAAGATTTTCCCTGTTATACCGTAGTTCTAAAAGCAGTCCAAATTTCCACTTGCAGATTCTACAAAAAAGAGTGTTTCAAAACTCCTACATCTAAGGGGAGGTTCAGATCTGTGAGTTGAATGCACAAATCACAAAGTAGGTTCTCAGAAAGTTTCTCTCTAGTTTTTATGTGAAGATATTCCCATTTTCAATGAAGGCTTCAATACGTTCCAAATATCCACTTGCAGATTCTACAAAATAAGAATTTCAAAACTGCTCTATCAAAACGAAGGTTCAACGAAGTTGAAAGCACACACCACAAACTGGTTTCTGAGAATGCTTCTTTCTAGTTTTTATGTGAAGATATTCCCGTTTCCAATGAAGGATTCAAAGAGCACCAAATATCCACCTGCAGATACTACAAAAACAGTTTTTCAAAACTGCTCAATCAAAAGGAAGGTTCAGCTCCGTGAGTTCAATGCCCACATCACAAAGAAGTTTCTGAGAATGCTTCTGTCTAGTTTCAATGGGAAGATATTCCCGTTTCAAACGAAGGCTTCAAAGCGCTCCAAATATCCACTTGCAGAGTCTACAAAAAGACTGTTTCAAAACTGCTCTATAAAAGTAAGGTTGTACTTTGTTAGTTGAATGCACCCATCAAAATGAAGTTTCTGAGAACACTTCTGTCTACTTTTCATGTGAAGATATTTCCTTATCCACGATAGTCCCCAAAGCCCTCAAAATGCCCACTCGAACATTCCTCAAAAAGACGGTTTCAATACTGCAGTATCAGAAGGAAATTTCAACTATGTGAGTAGAATGCACACATCACAAAGTAGTTTCTGAGAATGCTTCTGTCTAGTTTTTATATGAAGATATTTCCTTTTCTACCTTAAGCCTCAAAGTGCTGCAATGATGCACTTTCAGATTCTTCAAAAAGAGGGTTTCAAAACTGCTCTGGCAAAAGGAAGTTTCAACGCTGTGAGTGGAATGCACACATCACAAAGAAGTTTCTGAGAATGCTTCTGTCTAATTTTTATGTGAAGATAATCCTGTTTCCCAAGAAGGCTTCAAAGCACCCTAATATCCGCCTCCAGATTCTACAGAAAGAGTGTTTCAAAACTGCTCTATCAAAAGGAAGGTTCAACTCTGTGAGTTGAATGCAGACATCATAAAGGAGTTTCTGAGAATGCTTCTGTCTTGTTTTAATGTGAAGATATTTCCTTTTCAACCGATAGCCTAAAAGAGCTCCAAATGTCCAACTGCAGATTTTTTAAAAAGAATGTTTCAAAACTGCACTATCAAAAGAAAGGTTCAGCTCTGTGAGTTGAATGCACACATCTCGAAGAAGTTTCTGAGAATGCTTCTGTCTAGTTTTTATGTGAAGATATTCGCGATTCCAATGAAGTCTTCAAAGCGCTCCAAATATCTAAATGCGGATTCTACAAAAAGAGTGATTCAAAACTGGTCTATGAAAAGGAAGGTTCAGCTCTGTGAGTTGAACGCACACATCACAAAAAGTTTCGGAGAATGCTTCCATTTAGTTTTTAGGTGAAGATATTACCTTTTCAACCACAGCCTTCAAAACGCTCCAAATGTCCACTTGCAGATTCTACAAGAAGATTGTTTCCAGGCTGCTCTATCAAAAGAAATGTTCAACTATGGGAGTAGAATACACACATCACAAAGTCGTTTCTGAGAATGCTTCTGTCTAGTTTTTATGTGAAGATATTTCCTTTTCTACCAGAGGCCTGAAAGCGCTCCAAATGTCCAATAGTAGATTCTACAAAAAGAGTGTTTCAAAACTTCTCTATCAAAAGTAAGTGTCTGCTTTGTGAGTTGAAGGTACACATCAAAATGAAGTTTCTGATTATACTTCTGTCTACTTCTTATGTGAAGATATTTCCTTATCCGCAATGGTCCTCAAAGCCCTCGAAATGCCCACTTGAAGATTCTTCGGAAAGACTGTTTCAAAACTGCTCTCTCAAAAGAAAGTTTCCACTTTGTGTGTAGAATGCACACATCACAAAGTCGTTTCTGAGAATGCTTCTGTCTAGTTTTTATATGAAGATATTTCCTTTACTACCATAAGCCTCAAATCACTGCACATATGAACGGGCAGATTCTTTAAAAAGAGTGTTTCAAAACTGCTCTATCAAAACTGTTCTATCAACTCTGTGAGTTGAATGGACACATCACAAAGACTTTTCTGAGAATGCTTCTGTCTAGGTTTTAGGTGAAGATATTCTCGTTTCCGAAGAATGCTTCAAAGAGTACTTAAATATCCGCCTGCAGATTCTACAAAAGGAGTGTTTCAAAACTGCTCTAACAAAAGAAAAGTTCAACCTGGGTGTTGAATGCACACATCACAAAGAAGTTTCTGAGAATGCTTCTGTCTAGTTTTAATGCGAAGATATTCCCTCTTCCACCATAACCTTCAAAGCGCTCCAAATGTCCATTTGCAGATTTTACAAACAGAGTGTTTCCAGACTGCTCTACCAAAAGAAATTTTCAACTATGGGAGTAGAATGCACACATCACAAATTCGTTTCTGAGAATGCTTCTGTCTAGTTTTTATGTGAAGATATTTCCTTTTCTACCATAGGCATAAACGTGCTCCAAATATCCACTGGCAGATTCTAAAAAAAGAGTGTTTCAAAACTGCTCTATCAAAAGGAAGGTTCAATTCTGTGAGTTGAATGCACACATCACAAAGTAGTTTCTGAGAATGCTTCTGCCTAATTTTTAATTTTAAGATATTCCCATTTCCAAAGAAGGCTTCAATTTGCTCCAAATATCCACTTGCAGATTGTCCAAAAAGAGGGTTTCAAAACTGCTCTATCAAAAGGAAGGTTCAACTCTGTGAGATGAATGCACACATCACAACGTGGTTTCAGAGAATGCTTGTTTCTAGTTTTCAGGTGACGATATTCCCGTTTCCAATGTAGCACTCAAAGAGCTCCAAATATCCTCCTGCAGATAGTGCAAAAAGGGTGTTTCAAAACTGCTCTATCAAAAAGAAGCTTCAACTCTGTGAGTTGAATGCACAAATCACAAAGAAGTTTCTGGGAATACTTCTGTCTATTTTTATGTGACGATACTCCCGTTTCCAAAGAAGGCTTCAAAGCACTCCAAATATCCACCTGCAGATTATAAAGGAAGAGTTTTTCAAAACTGCTCAATCCAAAGGAAGGTTCAGCTCCGTGAGTTCAATGCCCACATCACAAAGAAGTTTCTGAGAATGCTTCTGTCTAGTTTCAAGGGGAAGATATTCCCGTTTCCAACGAAGGCTTCAAAGCGCTCCAAATATCCACTTGCAGAGTCTACAAAAAGACTGTTTCAAAACTGCTCAATAAAAGTAAGGTTCTACCTTGTTAGTTGAATGCACCCATCAAAATGAAGTTTCTGAGAACACTTCTGTCTACTTTTCATGTGAAGATATTTCCTTATCCACAATAGTCCCCAAAGCCCTCAAAATGCCCACTGGAAGATTCCTCAAAAAGACGGTTTCAATACTGCAGTATCAGAAGGAAATTTCAACTATGTGAGTAGAATGCACACATCACAAAGTAGTTTCTGAGAATGCTTCTGTCTAGTTTTTATATGAAGATATTTCCTTTTCTACATTAAGCCTCAAAGTGCTGCAATTATGCACTTTCAGATTCTTCAAAAAGAGGGTTTCAAAACTGCTCTAGCAAAAGGAAGTTTCAACGCTGTGAGTTGAATGCACACATCACAAAGAAGTTTCTGAGAATGCTTCTGTCTAATTTTTATGTGAAGATAATCCTGTTTCCCAAGAAGGCTTCAAAGCACCCTAACATCCGCCTCCATATTCTACAGAAAGAGTGTTTCAAAACTGCTCTATCAAAAGGAAGGTTCAACTCTGTGAGTTGAATGCAGACATCATAAAGGAGTTTCTGAGAATGCTTCTGTCTTGTTTTAATGTGAAGATACTTCCTTTTCAACCGATAGCCTAAAAGAGCTCCAAATGTCCAACTGCAGATTTTTTAAAAAGAATGTTTCAAAACTGCACTATCAAAAGAAAGGTTCAGCTCTGTGAGTTGAATGCACACATCTCAAAGGAGTTTCTGAGAATGGTTCTGTCTAGTTTTTATGTGAAGGTATTCGCGATTCCAATGAAGTCTTCAAAGCGCTCCAAATATCTAAATGCGGATTCTAGAAAAAGAGTGATTCAAAACTGGTCTAAGAAAAGGAAGGTTCAGCTCTGTGAGTTGAACGCACACATCACAAAAAGTTTCGGAGAATGCTTCCATTTAGTTTTTAGGTGAAGATATTACCTTTTCAACCACAGCCTTCAAAACGCTCCAAATGTCCACTTGCAGATTCTACAAGAAGATTGTTTCCAGGCGGCTCTATCAAAAGAAATGTTCAACTATGGGAGTAGAATACACACATCACAAAGTCGTTTCTGAGAATGCTTCTGTCTAGTTTTTATGTGAAGATATTTCCTTTTCTACCAGAGGCCTGAAAGCGCTCCAAATATCCAATTGCAGATTCTACAAAAAGAGTGTTTCAAAACTTCTCTATCAAAAGTAAGGGTCTGCTTTGTGAGTTGAATGTACACATCAAAATGAAGTTTCTGATTATACTTCTGTCTACTTCTTATGTGAAGATATTTCCTTATCCGCAATGGTCCTCAAAGCCCTCGAAATGCCCACTTGAAGATTCTTCGGAAAGACTGTTTCAAAACTGCTCTATCAAAAGAAAGTTTCAACTTTGTGTGTAGAATGCACACATCACAAAGTCGTTTCTGAGAATGCTTCTGTCTAGTTTTTATATGAAGATATTTCCTTTTCTACCATAAGCCTCAAAGCACTGCACATATGAACTGGCAGATTCTTCAAAAAGAGTGTTTCAAAACTGCTCTATCAAAACTGTTCTATCAACTCTGTGAGTTGAGTGGACACATCACAAAGACGTTTCTGAGAATGCTTCTGTCTAGGTTTTAGGTGAAGATATTCTCGTTTCCAAAGAATGCTTCAAATAGTACTTAAATATCCGCCTGCAGATTCTACAAAAGGAGTGTTTCAAAACTGCTCTAACAAAAGAAAGGTTCAACCTGGGAGTTGAATGCACACATCACAAAGAAGTTTCTGAGAATGCTTCTGTCTAGTTTTAATGCGAAGATATTCCCTCTTCCACCATAACCTTCAAAGCGCTCCAAATGTCCATTTGCAGATTTTACAAACAGAGTGTTTCCAGACTGCTCTACCAAAAGAAATTTTCAACTATGGGAGTAGAATGCACACATCACAAATTCGTTTCTGAGAATGCTTCTGTCTAGTTTTTATGTGAAGATATTTCCTTTTCTACCATAGGCATAAATGTGCTCCAAATATCCACTGGCAGATTCTAAAAAAAGAGTGTTTCAAAACTGCTCTATCAAAAGGAAGGTTCAATTCTGTGAGTTGAACGCACACATCACAAATTCGTTTCTGAGAATGCTTCTGTCTAGTTTTTATGTGAAGATATTTCCTTTTCTACCATAGGCATAAATGTGCTCCAAATATCCACTGGCAGATTCTAAAAAAAGAGTGTTTCAAAACTGCTCTATCAAAAGGAAGGTTCAATTCTGTGAGTTGAATGCACACATCACAAATTCGTTTCTGAGAATGCTTCTGTCTAGTTTTTATGTGAAGATATTTCCTTTTCTACCATAGGCATAAATGTGCTCCAAATATCCACTGGCAGATTCTAAAAAAAGAGTGTTTCAAAACTGCTCTATCAAAAGGAAGGTTCAATTCTGTGAGATGAATGCACACATCACAAAGTAGTTTCTGAGAATGCTTCTGCCTAATTTTTAATTTTAAGATATTCCCATTTCCAAAGAAGGCTTCAATTTGCTCCAAATATCCACTTGCAGATTGTACAAAAAGAGGGTTTCAAAACTGCTCTATCAAAAGGAAGGTTCAACTCTGTGAGATGAATGCACACATTTCAAAGTGGTTTCAGAGAATGCTTCTTTCTAGTTTTCAGGTGACGATATTCCCTTTTCCAATGTAGCACTCAAAGAGCTCCAAATATCCTCCTGCAGATTGTGCAAAAAGGGTGTTTCAAAACTGCTCTATCAAAAAGAAGCTTCAACTCTGTGAGTTGAATGCACAAATCACAAAGAAGTTTCTGGGAATACTTCTGTCTATTTTTATGTGACGATACTCCCGTTTCCAAAGAAGGCTTCAAAGCACTCCAAATATCCACCTGCAGATTATAAAGGAAGAGTTTTTCTAAACTGCTCAATCCAAAGGAAGGTTCAGCTCCGTGAGTTCAATGCCCACATCACAAAGAAGTTTCTGAGAATGCTTCTGTCTAGTTTCAAGGGGAAGATATTCCCGTTTCCAACGAAGGCTTCAAAGCGCTCCAAATATCCACTTGCAGAGTCTACAAAAAGACTGTTTCAAAACTGCTCTATAAAAGTAAGGTTGTACTTTGTTAGTTGAATGCACCCATCAAAATGAAGTTTCTGAGAACACTTCTGTCTACTTTTCATGTGAAGATATTTCCTTATCCACAATAGTCCCCAAAGCCCTCAAAATGCCCACTTGAAGATCGCTCAAAAAGACGGTTTCAAAACTGCAGTATCAGAAGGAAATTTCAACTATGTGAGTATAATGCACACATCACAAAGTAGTTTCTGAGAATGCTTCTGTCTAGTTTTTATATGAAGATATTTCCTTTTCTACCTTAAGCCTCAAAGTGCTGCAATTATGCACTTTCAGATTGTTCAAAAAGAGGGTTTCAAAACTGCTCTAGCAAAAGGAAGTTTCAACGCTGTGAGTTGAATGCACACATCACAAAGAAGTTTCTGAGAATGTTTCTGTCTAATTTTTATGTGAAGATAATCCTGCTTCCCAAGAAGGCTTCAAAGCACCCTAATATCCGCCTCCAGATTCTACAGAAAGAGTGTTTCAAAACTGCTCTATCAAAAGGAAGGTTCAACTCTTTGAGTTGAATGCAGACATCATAAAGGAGTTTCTGAGAATGCTTCTGTCTTGTTTTAATGTGAAGATACTTCCTTTTCAACCGATAGCCTAAAAGAGCTCCAAATGTCCAATTGCAGATTTTTTAAAAAGAATGTTTCAAAACTGCACTATCAAAAGAAAGGTTCAGCTCTGTGAGTTGAATGCACACATCTCAAAGGAGTTTCTGAGAATGGTTCGGTCTAGTTTTTATGTGAAGATATTCGCGATTCCAATGAAGTCTTCAAAGCGCTCCAAATATCTAAATGCGGATTCTACAAAAAGAGTGATTCAAAACTGGTCTAAGAAAAGGAAGGTTCAGCTCTGTGTGTTGAACGCACACATCACAAAAAGTTTCGGAGAATGCTTCCATTTAGTTTTTAGGTGAAGATATTACCTTTTCAACCACAGCCTTCAAAACGCTCCAAATGTCCACTTGCAGATTCTACAAGAAGATTGTTTCCAGGCGGCTCTATCAAAAGAAATGTTCAACTATGGGAGTAGAATACACACATCACAAAGTCGTTTCTGAGAATGCTTCTGTCTAGTTTTCATGTGAAGATATTTCCTTTTCTACCAGAGGCCTGAAAGCGCTCCAAATATCCAATTGCAGATTCTACAAAAAGAGTGTTTCAAAACTTCTCTATCAAAAGTAAGGGTCTGCTTTGTGAGTTGAATGTACACATCAAAATGAAGTTTCTGATTATACTTCTGTCTACTGCTTATGTGAAGATATTTCCTTATCCGCAATGGTCCTCAAAGCCCTCGAAATGCCCACTTGAAGATTCTTCGGAAAGACTGTTTCAAAACTGCTCTATCAAAAGAAAGTTTCAACTTTGTGTGTAGAATGCACACATCACAAAGTCGTTTCTGAGAATGCTTCTGTCTAGTTTTTATAGGAAGATATTTCCTTTTCTACCATAAGCCTCAAAGCACTGCACATATGAACTGGCAGATTCTTCAAAAAGAGTGTTTCAAAACTGCTCTATCAAAACTGTTCTATCAACTCTGTGAGTTGAGTGGACACATCACAAAGACGTTTCTGAGAATGCTTCTGTCTAGGTTTTAGGTGAAGATATTCTCGTTTCCCAAGAATGCTTCAAATAGTACTTAAATATCCGCCTGCAGATTTTACAAAAGGAGTGTTTCAAAACTGCTCTAACAAAAGAAAGGTTCAACCTGGGAGTTGAATGCACACATCACAAAGAAGTTTCTGAGAATGCTTCTGATTAGTTTTAATGCGAAGATATTCCCTCTTCCACCATAACCTTCAAAGCGCTCCAAATGTCCATTTGCAGATTTTACAAACAGAGTGTTTCCAGACTGCTCTACCAAAAGAAATTTTCAACTATGGGAGTAGAATGCACACATCACAAATTCGTTTCTGAGAATGCTTCTGTCTAGTTTTTATGTGAAGATATTTCCTTTTCTACCATAGGCTTAAATGTGCTCCAAATATCCACTGGCAGATTCTAAAAAAAGAGTGTTTCAAAACTGCTCTATCAAAAGGAAGGTTCAATTCTGTGAGTTGAATGCACACATCACAAAGTAGTTTCTGAGAATGCTTCTGCCTAATTTTTAATTTTAAGATATTCCCATTTCCAAAGAAGACTTCAATTTGCTCCAAATATCCACTTGCAGAGTGTACAAAAAGAGGGTTTCAAAACTGCTCTATCAAAAGGAAGGTTCAACTCTGTGAGATGAATGCACACATCACAAAGTGGTTTCCGAGAATGCTTCTTTCCAGTTTTTAGGTGACGATATTCCCGTTTCCAATGTAGCACTCAAAGAGCTCCAAATATCCTCCTGCAGATTGTGCAAAAAGGGTGTTTCAAAACTGCTCTATCAAAAAGAAGCTTCAACTCTGTGAGTTGAATGCACAAATCACAAAGAAGTCTCTGAGAATACTTCTGTCTATTTTTATGTGACGATACTCCCGTTTCCAAAGAAGGCTTCAAAGCACTCCAAATATCCACCTGCAGATTATAAAGGAAGAGTTTTTCAAAACTGCTCAATCCAAAGGAAGGTTCAGCTCCGTGAATTCAATGCCCACATCACAAAGAAGTTTCTGAGAATGCTTCTGTCTAGTTTCAAGGGGAAGATATTCCCGTTTCCAACGAAGGCTTCAAAGCGCTCCAAATATCCACTTGCAGAGTCTACAAAAAGACTGTTTCAAAACTGCTCTATAAAAGTAAGGTTGTACTTTGTTAGTGGAATGCACCCGTCAAAATGAAGTTTCTGAGAACACTTCTGTCGACTTTTCATGTGAAGATATTTCCTTATCCACAATAGTCCCCAAAGCCCTCAAAATGCCCACTTGAAGATCCCTCAAAAAGACTGTTTCAAAACTGCAGTATCAGAAGGAAATTTCAACTATGTGAGTAGAATGCACACATCACAAAGTAGTTTCTGAGAATGCTTCTGTCTAGTTTTTATATGAAGATATTTCCTTTTCGACCTTAAGCCTCAAAGTGCTGCAATTATGCACTTTCAGATTCTTCAAAAAGAGGGTTTCAAAACTGCTCTGGCAAAAGGAAGTTTCAACGCTGTGAGTTGAATGCACACATCACAAAGAAGTTTCTGAGAATGCTTCTGTCTAATTTTTATGTGAAGATAATCCTGTTTCCCAAGAAGGCTTCAAAGCACCCTAATATCAGCCTCCAGATTCTACAGAAAGAGTGTTTCAAAACTGCTCTATGAAAAGGAAGGTTCAACTCTGTGAGTTGAATGCAGACATCATAAAGGAGTTTCTGAGAATGCTTCTGTCTTGTTTTAATGTGAAGATATTTCCTTTTCAACCGATACCCTAAAAGAGCTCCAAATGTCCAACTGCAGATTTTTTAAAAAGAATGTTTCAAAACTGCACTATCAAAAGAAAGGTTCAGCTCTGTGAGTTGAATGCACACATCTCAAAGAAGTTTCTGAGAATGGTTCTGTCTAGTTTTTATGTGAAGGTATTCGCGATTCCAATGAAGTCTTCAAAGCGCTCCAAATATCTAAATGCGGATTCTACAAAAAGAGTGATTCAAAACTGGTCTATGAAAAGGAAGGTTCAGCTCTGTGAGTTGAACGCACACATCACAAAAAGTTTCGGACAATGCTTCCATTTAGTTTTTAGGTGAAGATATTACCTTTTCAACCACAGCCTTCGAAACGCTCCAAATGTCCACTTGCAGATTCTACAAGAAGATTGTTTCCAGGCGGCTCTATCAAAAGAAATGTTCAACTATGGGAGTAGAATACACACATCACAAAGTCGTTTCTGAGAATGCTTCTGTCTAGTTTTTATGTGAAGATATTTCCTTTTCTACCAGAGGCCTGAAAGCGCTCCAAATATCCAATTGCAGATTCTACAGAAAGAGTGTTTCAAAACTTCTCTATCAAAAGTAAGGGTCTGCTTTGTGAGTTGAATGTACACATCAAAATGAAGTTTCTGATTATACTTCTGTCTACTTCTTATGGGAAGATATTTCCTTATCCACAATGGTCCTCAAAGCCCTCGAAATGCCCACTTGAAGATTCTTCGGAAAGACTGTTTCAAAACTGCTCTATCAAAAAAAAGTTTCAACTTTGTGTGTAGAATGCACACATCACAATGTCGTTTCTGAGAATGCTTCTGTCTAGTTTTTATATGAAGATATTTCCTTTTCTACCATAAGCCTCAAAGCACTGCACATATGAACTGGCAGATCCTTTAAAAAGAGTGTTTCAAAACTGCTCTATCAAAACTGTTCTATCAACTCTGTGAGATGAATGGACACATCACAAAGATGTTTCTGAGAATGCTTCTGTCTAGGTTTTAGGTGAAGATATTCTCGTTTCCAAAGAATGCTTCAAAGAGTACTTAAATATCCGCCTGCAGATTCTACAGAAGGAGTGTTTCAAAACTGCTCTAACAAAAGAAAGGTTCAACCTGGGAGTTGAATGCACACATCACAAAGAAGTTTCTGAGAATGCTTCTGTCTAGTTTTAATGCGAAGATATTCCCTTTTCCATCATAACCTTCAAAGCGCTCCAAATGTCCATTTGCAGATTTTAGAAACAGAGTGGTTCCAGACTGCTCTATCAAAAGAAATTTTCAACTATGGGAGTAGAATGCACACAACACAAATTCGTTTCTGAGAATGCTTCTGTCTAGTTTTTATGTGAAGATATTTCCTTTTCTACCACAGGCATAAATGTGCTCCAAATATCCACTTGCAGATTCTGAAAAAAGAGTGTTTCAAAACTGCTGTATCAAAAGGAAGGTTCAATTCTGTGAGTTGAATGCACACATCACAAAGTAGTTTCTGAGAATGCTTCTGCCTAATTTTTAGATTTAAGATATTCTAATTTCCAAAGAAGGCTTCAATTTGCTCCAAATATCCACTTGCAGATTGTACAAAAAGAGGGTTTCAAAACTGCTCTATCAAAAGGAAGGTTCAACTCTGTGAGATGAATGCACACATCACAAAGTGGTTTCAGAGAATGCTTCTTTCTAGTTTTTAGGTGACGATATTCCCGTTTCCAATGTAGCACTCAAAGAGCTCCAAATATCCTCCTGCAGATTGTGCAAAAAGGGTGTTTCAAAACTGCTCTATCAAAAAGAAGCTTCAACTCTGTCAGTTGAATGCACAAATCACAAAGAAGTTTCTGGGAATACTTCTGTCTATTTTTATGTGACGATACTCCCGTTTCCAAAGAAGGCTTCAAAGCACTCCAAATATCCACCTGCAGATTATAAAGGAAGAGTTTTTCAAAACTGCTCAATCCAAAGGAAGTTTCAGCTCCGTGAGTTCAATGCCCACATCACAAAGAAGTTTCTGAGAATGCTTCTGTCTAGTTTCAAGGGGAAGATATTCCCGTTTCCAACGAAGGCTTCAAAGCGCTCCAAATATCCACTTGCAGAGTCTACAAAAAGACTGTTTCAAAACTGCTCTATAAAAGTAAGGTTGTACTTTGTTAGTGGAATGCACCCATCAAAATGAAGTTTCTGAGAACACTTCTGTCTACTTTTCATGTGAAGATATTTCCTTATCCACAATAGTCCCCAAAGCCCTCAAAATGCCCACTTGAAGATCACTCAAAAAGACTGTTTCAAAACTGCAGTATCAGAAGGAAATTTCAACTATGTGAGTAGAATGCACACATCACAAAGTAGTTTCTGAGAATGCTTCTGTCTAGTTTTTATATGAAGATATTTCCTTTTCGACCTTAAGCCTCAAAGTGCTGCAATTATGCACTTTCAGATTCTTCAAAAAGAGGGTTTCAAAACTGCTCTGGCAAAAGGAAGTTTCAACGCTGTGAGTTGAATGCACACATCACAAAGAAGTTTCTGAGAATGCTTCTGTCTAATTTTTATGTGAAGATAATCCTGTTTCCCAAGAAGGCTTCAAAGCACCCTAATATCCGCCTCCAGATTCTACAGAAAGAGTGTTTCAAAACTGCTCTATCAAAAGGAAGGTTCAACTCTGTGAGTTGAATGCAGACATCATAAAGGAGTTTCTGAGAATGCTTCTGTCTTGTTTTAATGTGAAGATATTTCCTTTTCAACCGATAGCCTAAAAGAGCTCCAAATGTCCAACTGCAGATTTTTTAAAAAGAATGTTTCAAAACTGCACTATCAAAAGAAAGGTTCAGCTCTGTGAGTTGAATGCACACATCTCAAAGAAGTTTCTGAGAATGGTTCTGTCTAGTTTTTATGTGAATGTATTCGCGATTCCAATGAAGTCTTCAAAGCTCTCCAAATATCTAAATGCGGATTCTACAAAAAGAGTGATTCAAAACTGGTCTATGAAAAGGAAGGTTCAGCTCTGTGAGTTGAACGCACACATCACAAAAAGTTTCGGACAATGCTTCCATTTAGTTTTTAGGTGAAGATATTACCTTTTCAATCACAGCCTTCGAAACGCTCCAAATGTCCACTTGCAGATTCTACAAGAAGATTGTTTCCAGGCGGCTCTATCAAAAGAAATGTTCAACTATGGGAGTAGAATACACACATCACAAAGTCGTTTCTGAGAATGCTTCTGTCTAGTTTTTATGTGAAGATATTTCCTTTTCTACCAGAGGCCTGAAAGCGCTCCAAACATCCAATTGCAGATTCTACAAAAAGAGTGTTTCAAAACTTCTCTATCAAAAGTTAGGGTCTGCTTTGTGAGTTGAATGTACACATCAAAATGAAGTTTCTGATTATACTTCTGTCTACTTCTTATGGGAAGATATTTCTTATCCGCAATGGTCCTCAAAGCCCTCGAAATGCCCACTTGAAGATTCTTCGGAAAGACGGTTTAAAAACTGCTCTATCAAAAGAAAGTTTCAACTTTGTGTGTAGAATGCACACATCACAATGTCGTTTCTGAGAATGCTTCTGTCTAGTTTTTATATGAAGATATTTCCTTTTCTACCATAAGCCTCAAAGCACTGCACATATGAACTGGCAGATCCTTTAAAAAGAGTGTATCAAAACTGCTCTATCAAAACTGTTCTATCAACTCTGTGAGATGAATGGACACATCACAAAGATGTTTCTGAGAATGCTTCTGTCTAGGTTTTAGGTGAAGATATTCTCGTTTCCAAAGAATGCTTCAAAGAGTACTTAAATATCCGCCTGCAGATTCTACAGAAGGAGTGTTTCAAAACTGCTCTAACAAAAGAAAGGTTCAACCTGGGAGTTGAATGCACACATCACAAAGAAGTTTCTGAGAATGCTTCTGTCTAGTATTAATGCGAAGATATTCCCTTTTCCATCATAACCTTCAAAGCGCTCCAAATGTCCATTTGCAGATTTTAGAAACAGAGTGGTTCAAGACTGCTCTATCAAAAGAAATTTTCAACTATGGGAGTAGAATGCACACAACACAAATTCGTTTCTGAGAATGCTTCTGTCTAGTTTTTATGTGAAGATATTTCCTTTTCTACCACAGGCATAAATGTGCTCCAAATATCCACTTGCAGATTCTAAACAAAGAGTGTTTCAAAACTGCTGTATCAAAAGGAAGGTTCAATTCTGTGAGTTGAATGCACACATCACAAAGTAGTTTCTGAGAATGCTTCTGCCTAATTTTTAGATTTAAGATATTCCCATTTCCAAAGAAGGCTTCAATTTGCTCCAAATATCCACTTGCAGATTGTACAAAAAGAGGGTTTCAAAACTGCTCTATCAAAAGGAAGGTTCAACTCTGTGAGATGAATGCACACATCACAAAGTGGTTTCAGAGAATGCTTCTTTCTAGTTTTCAGGTGACGATATTCCCGTTTCCAATGTAGCACTCAAAGAGCTCCAAATATCCTCCTGCAGATTGTGCAAAAAGGGTGTTTCAAAACTGCTCTATCAAAAAGAAGCTTCAACTCTGTGAGTTGAATGCACAAATCACAAAGAAGTTTCTGGGAATACTTCTGTCTATTTTTATGTGACGATACTCCCGTTTCCAAAGAAGGCTTCAAAGCACTCCAAATATCCACCTGCAGATTATAAAGGAAGAGTTTTTCAAAACTGCTCAATCCAAAGGAAGGTTCAGCTCCGTGAGTTCAATGCCCACATCACAAAGAAGTTTCTGAGAATGCTTCTGTCTGGTTTCAAGGGGAAGATATTCCCGTTTCCAACGAAGGCTTCAAAGCGCTCCAAATATCCACTTGCAGAGTCTACAAAAAGACTGTTTCAAAACTGCTCTATAAAAGTAAGGTTGTACTTTGTTAGTGGAATGCACCCATCAAAATGAAGTTTCTGAGAACACTTCTGTCTACTTTTCATGTGAAGATATTTCCTTATCCACAATAGTCCCGAAAGCCCTCAAAATGCCCACTTGAAGATCCCTCAAAAAGACTGTTTCAAAACTGCAGTATCAGAAGGAAATTTCAACTATGTGAGTAGAATGCACACATCACAAAGTAGTTTCTGAGAATGCTTCTGTCTAGTTTTTATATGAAGATATTTCCTTTTCGACCTTAAGCCTCAAAGTGCTGCAATTATGCACTTTCAGATTCTTCAAAAAGAGGGTTTCAAAACTGCTCTGGCAAAAGGAAGTTTCAACGCTGTGAGTTGAATGCACACATCACAAAGAAGTTTCTGAGAATGCTTCTGTCTAATTTTTATGTGAAGATAATCCTGTTTCCCAAGAAGGCTTCAAAGCACCCTAATATCCGCCTCCAGATTCTACAGAAAGAGTGTTTCAAAACTGCTCTATGGAAAGGAAGGTTCAACTCTGTGAGTTGAATGCAGACATCATAAAGGAGTTTCTGAGAATGCTTCTGTCTTCTTTTAATGTGAAGATATTTCCTTTTCAACCGATAGCCTAAAAGAGCTCCAAATGTCCAACTGCAGATTTTTTAAAAAGAATGTTTCAAAACTGCACTATCAAAAGAAAGGTTCAGCTCTGTGAGTTGAATGCACACATCTCAAAGAAGTTTCTGAGAATGGTTCTGCCTAGTTTTTATGTGAAGGTATTCGCGATTCCAATGAAGTCTTCAAAGCGCTCCAAATATCTAAATGCGGATTCTACAAAAAGAGTGATTCAAAACTGGTCTATGAAAAGGAAGGTTCAGCTCTGTGAGTTGAACGCACACATCACAAAACGTTTCGGACAATGCTTCCATTTAGTTTTTAGGTGAAGATATTACCTTTTCAACCACAGCCTTCGAAACGCTCCAAATGTCCACTTGCAGATTCTACAAGAAGATTGTTTCCAGGCGGCTCTATCAAAAGAAATGTTCAACTATGGGAGTAGAATACACACATCACAAAGTCGTTTCTGAGAATGCTTCTGTCTAGTTTTTATGTGAAGATATTTCCTTTTCTACCAGAGGCCTGAAAGCGCTCCAGACATCCAATTGCAGATTCTACAAAAATAGTGTTTCAAAACTTTTCTATCAAAAGTAAGGGTCTGCTTTGTGAGTTGAATGTACACATCAAAATGAAGTTTCTGATTATACTTCTGTCTACTTCTTATGGGAAGATATTTCCTTATCCGCAATGGTCCTCAAAGCCCTCGAAATGCCCACTTGAAGATTCTTCGGAAAGACGGTTTCAAAACTGCTCTATCAAAAAAAAGTTTCAACTTTGTGTGTAGAATGCACACATCACAAAGTCGTTTCTGAGAATGCTTCTGTCTAGTTTTTATAGGAAGATATTTCCTTTTCTACCATAAGCCTCAAAGCACTGCACATATGAACTGGCAGATTCTTTAAAAAGAGTGTTTCAAAACTGCTCTATCAAAACTGTTCTATCAACTCTGTGAGATGAATGGACACATCACAAAGATGTTTCTGAGAATGCTTCTGTCTAGGTTTTAGGTGAAGATATTCTCGTTTCCAAAGAATGCTTCAAAGAGTACTTAAATATCCGCCTGCAGATTCTACAAAAGGAGTGTTTCAAAACTGCTCTAACAAAAGAAAGGTTCAACCTGGGAGTTGAATGCACACATCACAAAGAAGTTTCTGAGAATGCTTCTGTCTAGTTTTAATGCGAAGATATTCCCTTTTCCATCATAACCTTCAAAGCGCTCCAAATGTCCATTTGCAGATTTTAGAAACAGAGTGTTTCCAGACTGCTCTATCAAAAGAAATTTTCAACTATGGGAGTAGAATGCACACAACACAAATTCGTTTCTGAGAATGCTTCTGTCTAGTTTTTATGTGAAGATATTTCCTTTTCTACCACAGGCATAAATGTGCTCCAAATATCCACTTGCAGATTCTGAAAAAAGAGTGTTTCAAAACTGCTGTATCAAAAGGAAGGTTCAATTCTGTGAGTTGAATGCACACATCACAAAGTAGTTTCTGAGAATGCTTCTGCCTAATTTTTAGATTTAAGATATTCCCATTTCCAAAGAAGGCTTCAATTTGCTCCAAATATCCACTTGCAGATTGTACAAAAAGAGGGTTTCAAAACTGCTCTATCAAAAGGAAGGTTCAACTCTGTGAGATGAATGCACACATCACAAAGTGGTTTCAGAGAATGCTTCTTTCTAGTTTTTAGGTGACGATATTCCCGTTTCCAATGTAGCACTCAAAGAGCTCCAAATATCCTCCTGCAGATTGTGCAAAAAGGGTGTTTCAAAACTGCTCTATCAAAAAGAAGCTTCAACTCTGTGAGTTGAATGCACAAATCACAAAGAAGTTTCTGGGAATACTTCTGTCTATTTTTATGTGACGATACTCCCGTTTCCAAAGAAGGCTTCAAAGCACTCCAAATATCCACCTGCAGATTATAAAGGAAGAGTTTTTCAAAACTGCTCAATCCAAAGGAAGGTTCAGATCCGTGAGTTCAATGCCCACATCACAAAGAAGTTTCTGAGAATGCTTCTGTCTAGTTTCAAGGGGAAGATATTCCCGTTTCCAACGAAGGCTTCAAAGCGCTCCAAATATCCACTTGCAGAGTCTACAAAAAGACTGTTTCAAAACTGCTCTATAAAAGTAAGGTTGTACTTTGTTAGTGGAATGCACCCATCAAAATGAAGTTTCTGAGAACACTTCTGTCTACTTTTCATGTGAAGATATTTCCTTATCCACAATAGTCCCCAAAGCCCTCAAAATGCCCACTTGAAGATCCCTCAAAAAGACTGTTTCAAAACTGCAGTATCAGAAGGAAATTTCAACTATGTGAGTAGAATGCACACATCACAAAGTAGTTTCTGAGAATGCTTCTGTCTAGTTTTTATATGAAGATATTTCCTTTTCGACCTTAAGCCTCAAAGTGCTGCAATTATGCACTTTCAGATTCTTCAAAAAGAGGGTTTCAAAACTGCTCTGGCAAAAGGAAGTTTCAACGCTGTGAGTTGAATGCACACATCACAAAGAAGTTTCTGAGAATGCTTCTGTCTAATTTTTATGTGAAGATAATCCTGTTTCCCAAGAAGGCTTCAAAGCACCCTAATATCCGCCTCCAGATTCTACAGAAAGAGTGTTTCAAAACTGCTCTATCAAAAGGAAGGTTCAACTCTGTGAGTTGAATGCAGACATCATAAAGGAGTTTCTGAGAATGCTTCTGTCTTGTTTTAATGTGAAGATATTTCCTTTTCAACCGATAGCCTAAAAGAGCTCCAAATGTCCAACTGCAGATTTTTTAAAAAGAATGTTTCAAAACTGCACTATCAAAAGAAAGGTTCAGCTCTGTGAGTTGAATGCACACATCTCAAAGAAGTTTCTGAGAATGGTTCTGTCTAGTTTTTATGTGAAGGTATTCGCGATTCCAATGAAGTCTTCAAAGCGCTCCAAATATCTAAATGCGGATCCTACAAAAAGAGTGATTCAAAACTGGTCTATGAAAAGGAAGGTTCAGCTCTGTGAGTTGAACACACACATCACAAAAAGTTTCGGACAATGCTTCCATTTAGTTTTTAGGTGAAGATATTACCTTTTCAACCACAGCCTTCGAAACGCTCCAAATGTCCACTTGCAGATTCTACAAGAAGATTGTTTCCAGGCGGCTCTATCAAAAGAAATGTTCAACTATGGGAGTAGAATACACACATCACAAAGTCGTTTCTGAGAATGCTTCTGTCTAGTTTTTATGTGAAGATATTTCCTTTTCTACCAGAGGCCTGAAAGCGCTCCAAATATCCAATTGCAGATTCTACAAAAAGAGTGTTTCAAAACTTCTCTATCAAAAGTAAGGGTCTGCTTTGTGAGTTGAATGTACACATCAAAATGAAGTTTCTGATTATACTTCTGTCTACTTCTTATGGGAAGATATTTCCTTATCCGCAATGGTCCTCAAAGCCCTCGAAATGCCCACTTGAATATTCTTCGGAAAGACGGTTTCAAAACTGCTCTATCAAAAGAAAGTTTCAACTTTGTGTGTAGAATGCACACATCACAAAGTCGTTTCTGAGAATGCTTCTGTCTAGTTTTTATATGAAGATATTTCCTTTTCTACCATAAGCCTCAAAGCACTGCACATATGAACTGGCAGATTCTTTAAAAAGAGTGTTTCAAAACTGCTCTATCAAAACTGTTCTATCAACTCTGTGAGATGAATGGACACATCACAAGGATGTTTCTGAGAATGCTTCTGTCTAGGTTTTAGGTGAAGATATTCTCGTTTCCAAAGAATGCTTCAAAGAGTACTTAAATATCCGCCTGCAGATTCTACAAAAGGAGTGTTTCAAAACTGCTCTAACAAAAGAAAAGTTCAACCTGGGAGTTGAATGCACACATCACAAAGAAGTTTCTGAGAATGCTTCTGTCTAGTTTTAATGCGAAGATATTCCCTTTTCCATCATAACCTTCAAAGCGCTCCAAATGTCCATTTGCAGATTTTAGAAACAGAGTGGTTCCAGACTGCTCTATCAAAAGAAATTTTCAACTATGGGAGTAGAATACACACAACACTAATTCGTTTCTGAGAATGCTTCTGTCTAGTTTTTATGTGAAGATATTTCCTTTTCTACCACAGGCATAAATGTGCTCCAAATATCCACTTGCAGATTCTAAACAAAGAGTGTTTCAAAACTGCTGTATCAAAAGGAAGGTTCAATTCTGTGAGTTGAATGCACACATCACAAAGTAGTTTCTGAGAATGCTTCCGCCTAATTTTTAGATTTAAGATATTCCCATTTCCAAAGAAGGCTTCAATTTGCTCCAAATATCCACTTGCAGAGTGTACAAAAAGAGGGTTTCAAAACTGCTCTATCAAAAGGAAGGTTCAACTCTGTGAGATGAATGCACACATCACAAAGTGGTTTCCGAGAATGCTTCTTTCTAGTTTTTAGGTGACGATATTCCCGTTTCCAATGTAGCACTCAAAGAGCTCCAAATATCCTCCTGCAGATTGTGCAAAAAGGGTGTTTCAAAACTGCTCTATCAAAAAGAAGCTTCAACTCTGTGAGTTGAATGCACAAATCACAAAGAAGTTTCTGGGAATACTTCTGTCTATTTTTATGTGACGATACTCCCGTTTCCAAAGAAGGCTTCAAAGCACTCCAAATATCCACCTGCAGATTATAAAGGAAGAGTTTTTCAAAACTGCTCAATCCAAAGGAAGGTTCAGCTCCGTGAGTTCAATGCCCACATCACAAAGAAGTTTCTGAGAATGCTTCTGTCTGGTTTCAAGGGGAAGATATTCCCGTTTCCAACGAAGGCTTCAAAGCGCTCCAAATATCCACTTGCAGAGTCTACAAAAAGACTGTTTCAAAACTGCTCTATAAAAGTAAGGTTGTACTTTGTTAGTGGAATGCACCCATCAAAATGAAGTTTCTGAGAACACTTCTGTCTACTTTTCATGTGAAGATATTTCCTTATCCACAATAGTCCCGAAAGCCCTCAAAATGCCCACTTGAAGATCCCTCAAAAAGACTGTTTCAAAACTGCAGTATCAGAAGGAAATTTCAACTATGTGAGTAGAATGCACACATCACAAAGTAGTTTCTGAGAATGCTTCTGTCTAGTTTTTATATGAAGATATTTCCTTTTCGACCTTAAGCCTCAAAGTGAAGCAATTATGCACTTTCAGATTCTTCAAAAAGAGGGTTTCAAAACTGCTCTGGCAAAAGGAAGTTTCAACGCTGTGAGTTGAATGCACACATCACAAAGAAGTTTCTGAGAATGCTTCTGTCTAATTTTTATGTGAAGATAATCCTGTTTCCCAAGAAGGCTTCAAAGCACCCTAATATCCGCCTCCAGATTCTACAGAAAGAGTGTTTCAAAACTGCTCTATGAAAAGGAAAGTTCAACTCTGTGAGTTGAATGCAGACATCATAAAGGAGTTTCTGAGAATGCTTCTGTCTTGTTTTAATGTGAAGATATTTCCTTTTCAACCGATAGCCTAAAAGAGCTCCAAATGTCCAACTGCAGATTTTTTAAAAAGAATGTTTCAAAACTGCACTATCAAAAGAAAGGTTCAACTCTGTGAGTTGAATGCACACATCTCAAAGAAGTTTCTGAGAATGGTTCTGTCTAGTTTTTATGTGAAGGTATTCGCGATTCCAATGAAGTCTTCAAAGCGCTCCAAATATCTAAATGCGGATCCTACAAAAAGAGTGATTCAAAACTGGTCTATGAAAAGGAAGGTTCAGCTCTGTGAGTTGAACGCACACATCACAAAAAGTTTCGGACAATGCTTCCATTTAGTTTTTAGGTGAAGATATTACCTTTTCAACCACAGCCTTCGAAACGCTCCAAATGTCCACTTGCAGATTCTACAAGAAGATTGTTTCCAGGCGGCTCTATCAAAAGAAATGTTCAACTATGGGAGTAGAATACACACATCACAAAGTCGTTTCTGAGAATGCTTCTGTCTAGTTTTTATGTGAAGATATTTCCTTTTCTACCAGAGGCCTGAAAGCGCTCCAAATATCCAATTGCAGATTCTACAAAAAGACTGTTTCAAAACTTCTCTATCAAAAGTAAGGGTCTGCTTTGTGAGTTGAATGTACACATCAAAATGAAGTTTCTGATTATACTTCTGTCTACTTCTTATGGGAAGATATTTCCTTATCCGCAATGGTCCTCAAAGCCCTCGAAATGCCCACTTGAAGATTCTTCGGAAAGACTGTTTCAAAACTGCTCTATCAAAAGAAAGTTTCAACTTTGTGTGTAGAATGCACACATCACAAAGTCGTTTCTGAGAATGCTTCTGTCTAGTTTTTATATGAAGATATTTCCTTTTCTACCATAAGCCCCAAAGCACTGCACATATGAACTGGCAGATTCTTTAAAAAGAGTGTTTCAAAACTGCTCTATCAAAACTGTTCTATCAACTCTGTGAGATGAATGGACACATCACAAAGATCTTTCTGAGAATGCTTCTGTCTAGGTTTTAGGTGAAGATATTCTCGTTTCCAAAGAATGCTTCAAAGAGTACTTAAATATCCGCCTGCAGATTCTACAAAAGGAGTGTTTCAAAACTGCTCTAACAAAAGAAAGGTTCAACCTGGGAGTTGAATGCACACATCACAAAGAAGTTTCTGAGAATGCTTCTGTCTAGTTTTAATGCGAAGATATTCCCTTTTCCATCATAACCTTCAAAGCGCTCCAAATGTCCATTTGCAGATTTTAGAAACAGAGTGGTTCCAGACTGCTCTATCAAAAGAAATTTTCAACTATGGGAGTAGAATGCACACAACACAAATTCGTTTCTGAGAATGCTTCTGTCTAGTTTTTATGTGAAGATATTTCCTTTTCTACCACAGGCATAAATGTGCTCCAAATATCCACTTGCAGATTCTAAACAAAGAGTGTTTCAAAACTGCTGTATCAAAAGGAAGGTTCAATTCTGTGAGTTGAATGCACACATCACAAAGTAGTTTCTGAGAATGCTTCTGCCTAATTTTTAGATTTAAGATATTCCCATTTCCAAAGAAAGCTTCAATTTGCTCCAAATATCCACTTGCAGATTGTACAAAAAGAAGGTTTCAAAACTGCTCTATCAAAAAGAAAGTTCAACTCTGTGAGATGAATGCACACATCACAAAGTGGTTTCAGAGAATGCTTCTTTCTAGTTTTTAAGTGACGATATTCCCGTTTCCAATGTAGCACTCAAAGAGCTCCAAATATCCTCCTGCAGATTGTGCAAAAAGGGTGTTTCAAAACTGCTCTATCAAAAAGAAGCTTCAACTCTGTGAGTTGAATGCACAAATCACAAAGAAGTTTCTGGGAATACTTCTGTCTATTTTTATGTGACGATACTCCCGTTTCCAAAGAAAGCTTCAAAGCACTCCAAATATCCACCTGCAGATTATAAAAGAAGAGTTTTTCAAAACTGCTCAATCCAAAAGAAAGTTCAGCTCCGTGAGTTCAATGCCCACATCACAAAGAAGTTTCTGAGAATGCTTCTGTCTAGTTTCAAAGAGAATATATTCCCGTTTCCAACGAATGCTTCAAAGCGCTCCAAATATCCACTTGCAGAGTCTACAAAAAGACTGTTTCAAAACTGCTCTATAAAAGTAAGGTTGTACTTTGTTAGTGGAATGCACCCATCAAAATGAAGTTTCTGAGAACACTTCTGTCTACTTTTCATGTGAAGATATTTCTTTATCCACAATAGTCCCCAAAGCCCTCAAAATGCCCACTTGAAGATCCCTCAAAAAGACTGTTTCAAAACTGCAGTATCAGAAGGAAATTTCAACTATGTGAGTAGAATGCACACATCACAAAGTAGTTTCTGAGAATGCTTCTGTCTAGTTTTTATATGAAGATATTTCCTTTTCGACCTTAAGCCTCAAAGTGCTGCAATTATGCACTTTCAGATCCTTCAAAAAGAGGGTTTCAAAACTGCTCTGGCAAAAGGAAGTTTCAACGCTGTGAGTTGAATGCACACATCACAAAGAAGTTTCTGAGAATGCTTCTGTCTAATTTTTATGTGAAGATAATCCTGTTTCCCAAGAAGGCTTCAAAGCACCCTAATATCCGCCTCCAGATTCTACAGAAAGAGTGTTTCAAAACTGCTCTATGGAAAGGAAGGTTCAACTCTGTGAGTTGAATGCAGACATCATAAAGGAGTTTCTGAGAATGCTTCTGTCTTGTTTTAATGTGAAGATATTTCCTTTTCAACCGATAGCCTAAAAGAGCTCCAAATGTCCAACTGCAGATTTTTTAAAAAGAATGTTTCAAAACTGCACTATCAAAAGAAAGGTTCAGCTCTGTGAGTTGAATGCACACATCTCAAAGAAGTTTCTGAGAATGGTTCTGTCTAGTTTTTATGTGAAGGTATTCGCGATTCCAATGAAGTCTTCAAAGCGCTCCAAATATCTAAATGCGGATTCTACAAAAAGAGTGATTCAAAACTGGTCTATGAAAAGGAAGGTTCAGCTCTGTGAGTTGAACGCACACATCACAAAACTTTTCGGAGAATGCTTCCATTTAGTTTTTAGGTGAAGATATTACCTTTTCAACCACAGCCTTCGAAACGCTCCAAATGTCCACTTGCAGATTCTACAAGAAGATTGTTTCCAGGCGGCTCTATCAAAAGAAATGTTCAACTATGGGAGTAGAATACACACATCACAAAGTCGTTTCTGAGAATGCTTCTGTCTAGTTTTTATGTGAAGATATTTCCTTTTTTACCAGAGGCCTGAAAGCGCTCCAAATATCCAATTGCAGATTCTACAAAAAGAGTGTTTCAAAACTTCTCTATCAAAAGTAAGGGTCTGCTTTGTGAGTTGAATGTACACATCAAAATGAAGTTTCTGATTATACTTCTGTCTACTTCTTATGGGAAGATATTTCCTTATCCGCAATGGTCCTCAAAGCCCTCGAAATGCCCACTTGAAGATTCTTCGGAAAGACGGTTTCAAAACTGCTCTATCAAAAGAAAGTTTCAACTTTGTGTGTAGAATGCACACATCACAAAGTCGTTTCTGAGAATGCTTCTGTCTAGTTTTTATATGAAGATATTTCCTTTTCTACCATAAGCCTCAAAGCACTGCACATATGAACTGGCAGATTCTTTAAAAAGAGTGTTTCAAAACTGCTCTATCAAAACTGTTCTATCAACTCTGTGAGATGAATGGACACATCACAAAGATGTTTCTGAGAATGCTTCTGTCTAGGTTTTAGGTGAAGATATTCTCGTTTCCAAAGAATGCTTCAAAGAGTACTTAAATATCCGCCTGCAGATTCTACAAAAGGAGTGTTTCAAAACTGCTCTAACAAAAGAAAGGTTCAACCTGGGAGTTGAATGCACACATCACAAAGAAGTTTCTGAGAATGCTTCTGTCTAGTTTTAATGCGAGGATATTCCCTTTTCCATCATAACCTTCAAAGCGCTCCAAATGTCCATTTGCAGATTTTAGAAACAGAGTGTTTCCAGACTGCTCTATCAAAAGAAATTTTCAACTATGGGAGTAGAATGCACACAACACAAATTCGTTTGTGAGAATGCTTCTGTCTAGTTTTTATGTGAAGATATTTCCTTTTCTACCGTAGGCATACATGTGCTCCAAATATCCACTTGCAGATTCTAAACAAAGAGTGTTTCAAAACTGCTGTATCAAAAGGAAGGTTCAATTCTGTGAGTTGAATGCACACATCACAAAGTAGTTTCTGAGAATGCTTCTGCCTAATATTTAGATTTAAGATATTCCCATTTCCAAAGAAGGCTTCAATTTGCTCCAAATATCCACTTGCAGATTGTACAAAAAGAGGGTTTCAAAACTGCTCTATGAAAAGGAAGGTTCAACTCTGTGAGATGAATGCACACATCACAAAGTGGTTTCAGAGAATGCTTCTTTCTAGTTTTTAGGTGACGATATTCCCGTTTCCAATGTAGCACTCAAAGAGCTCCAAATATCCTCCTGCAGATTGTGCAAAAAGGGTGTTTCAAAACTGCTCTATCAAAAAGAAGCTTCAACTCTGTGAGTTGAATGCACAAATCACAAAGAAGTTTCTGGGAATACTTCTGTCTATTTTTATGTGACGATACTCCCGTTTCCAAAGAAGGCTTCAAAGCACTCCAAATATCCACCTGCAGATTATAAAGGAAGAGTTTTTCAAAACTGCTCAATCCAAAGGAAGGTTCAGCTCCGTGAGTTCAATGCCCACATCACAAAGAAGTTTCTGAGAATGCTTCTGTCTAGTTTCAAGGGGAAGATATTCCCGTTTCCAACGAAGGCTTCAAAGCGCTCCAAATATCCACTTGCAGAGTCTACAAAAAGACCGTTTCAAAACTGCTCTATAAAAGTAAGGTTGTACTTCGTTAATTGAATGCACCCATCAAAATGAAGTTTCTGAGAACACTTCTGTCTACTTTTCATGTGAAGATATTTCCTTATCCACAATAGTCCCCAAAGCCCTCAAAATGCCCACTTGAAGATCCCTCAAAAAGACTGTTTCAAAACTGCAGTATCAGAAGGAAATTTCAACTATGTGAGTAGAATGCACACATCACAAAGTAGTTTCTGAGAATGCTTCTGTCTAGTTTTTATATGAAGATATTTCCTTTTCGACCTTAAGCCTCAAAGTGCTGCAATTATGCACTTTCAGATTCTTCAAAAAGAGGGTTTCAAAACTGCTCTGGCAAAAGGAAGTTTCAACGCTGTGAGTTGAATGCACACATCACAAAGAAGTTTCTGAGAATGCTTCTGTCTAATTTTTATGTGAAGATAATCCTGTTTCCCAAGAAGGCTTCAAAGCAACCTAATATCCGCCTCCAGATTCTACAGAAAGAGAGTTTCAAAACTGCTCTATCAAAAGGAAGGTTCAACTCTGTGAGTTGAATGCAGACATCATAAAGGAGTTTCTGAGAATGCTTCTGTCTTGTTTTAATGTGAAGATATTTCCTTTTCAACCGATAGCCTAAAAGAGCTCCAAATGTCCAACTGCAGATTTTTTAAAAAGAATGTTTCAAAACTGCACTATCAAAAGAAAGGTTCAGCTCTGTGAGTGGAATGCACACATCTCAAAGAAGTTTCTGAGAATGGTTCTGTCTAGTTTTTATGTGAAGGTATTCGCGATTCCAATGAAGTCTTCAAAGCGCTCCAAATATCTAAATGCGGATTCTACAAAAAGAGTGATTCAAAACTGGTCTATGAAAAGGAAGGTTCAGCTCTGTGAGTTGAACGCACACATCACAAAAAGTTTCGGACAATGCTTCCATTTAGTTTTTGGGTGAAGATATTACCTTTTCAACCACAGCCTTCGAAACGCTCCAAATGTCCACTTGCAGATTCTACAAGAAGATTGTTTCCAGGCGGCTCTATCAAAAGAAATGTTCAACTATGGGAGTAGAATACACACATCACAAAGTCGTTTCTGAGAATGCTTCTGTCTAGTTTTTATGTGAAGATATTTCCTTTTCTACCAGAGGCCTGAAAGCGCTCCAAATATCCAATTGCAGATTCTACAAAAAGAGTGTTTCAAAACTTCTCTATCAAAAGTAAGGGTCTGCTTTGTGAGTTGAATGTACACATCAAAATGAAGTTTCTGATTATACTTCTGTCTACTTCTTATGGGAAGATATTTCCTTATCCGCAATGGTCCTCAAAGCCCTCGAAATGTCCACTTGAAGATTCTTCGGAAAGACTGTTTCAAAACTGCTCTATCAAAAGAAAGTTTCAACTTTGTGTGTAGAATGCACACATCACAAAGTCGTTTCTGAGAATGCTTCTGTCTAGTTTTTATATGAAGATATTTCCTTTTCTACCATAAGCCTCAAAGCACTGCACATATGAACTGGCAGATTCTTTAAAAAGAGTGTTTCAAAACTGCTCTATCAAAACTGTTCTATCAACTCTGTGAGATGAATGGACACATCACAAAGATGTTTCTGAGAATGCTTCTGTCTAGGTTTTAGGTGAAGATATTCTCGTTTCCAAAGAATGCTTCAAAGAGTACTTAAATATCCGCCTGCAGATTCTACAAAAGGAGTGTTTCAAAACTGCTCTAACAAAAGAAAGGTTCAACCTGGGAGTTGAATGCACACATCACAAAGAAGTTTCTGAGAATGCTTCTGTCTAGTTTTAATGCGAAGATATTCCCTTTTCCATCATAACCTTCAAAGCGCTCCAAATGTCCATTTGCAGATTTTAGAAACAGAGTGGTTCCAGACTGCTCTATCAAAAGAAATTTTCAACTATGGGAGTAGAATGCACACAACACAAATTCGTTTCTGAGAATGCTTCTGTCTAGTTTTTATGTGAAGATATTTCCTTTTCTACCACAGGCATAAATGTGCTCCAAATATCCACTTGCAGATTCTAAACAAAGAGTGTTTCAAAACTGCTGTATCAAAAGGAAGGTTCAATTCTGTGAGTTGATTGCACACATCACAAAGTAGTTTCTGAGAATGCTTCTGCCTAATTTTTAGATTTAAGATATTCCCATTTCCAAAGAAGGCTTCAATTTGCTCCAAATATCCACTTGCATATTGTACAAAAAGAGGGTTTCAAAACTGCTCTATCAAAAGGAAGGTTCAACTCTGTGAGATGAATGCACACATCACAAAGTGGTTTCAGAGAATGCTTCTTTCTAGTTTTCAGGTGACGATATTCCCGTTTCCAATGTAGCACTCAAAGAGCTCCAAATATCCTCCTGCAGATTGTGCAAAAAGGGTGTTTCAAAACTGCTCTATCAAAAAGAAGCTTCAACTCTGTGAGTTGAATGCACAAATCACAAAGAAGTTTCTGGGAATACTTCTGTCTATTTTTATGTGACGATACTCCCGTTTCCAAAGAAGGCTTCAAAGCACTCCAAATATCCACCTGCAGATTATAAAGGAAGAGTTTTTCAAAACTGCTCAATCCAAAGGAAGGTTCAGCTCCGTGAGTTCAATGCCCACATCACAAAGAAGTTTCTGAGAATGCTTCTGTCTGGTTTCAAGGGGAAGATATTCCCGTTTCCAACGAAGGCTTCAAAGCGCTCCAAATATCCACTTGCAGAGTCTACAAAAAGACTGTTTCAAAACTGCTCTATAAAAGTAAGGTTGTACTTTGTTAGTGGAATGCACCCATCAAAATGAAGTTTCTGAGAACACTTCTGTCTACTTTTCATGTGAAGATATTTCCTTATCCACAATAGTCCCGAAAGCCCTCAAAATGCCCACTTGAAGATCCCTCAAAAAGACTGTTTCAAAACTGCAGTATCAGAAGGAAATTTCAACTATGTGAGTAGAATGCACACATCACAAAGTAGTTTCTGAGAATGCTTCTGTCTAGTTTTTATATGAAGATATTTCCTTTTCGACCTTAAGCCTCAAAGTGCTGCAATTATGCACTTTCAGATCCTTCAAAAAGAGGGTTTCAAAACTGCTCTGGCAAAAGGAAGTTTCAACGCTGTGAGTTGAATGCACACATCACAAAGAAGTTTCTGAGAATGCTTCTGTCTAATTTTTATGTGAAGATAATCCTGTTTCCCAAGAAGGCTTCAAAGCACCCTAATATCCGCCTCCAGATTCTACAGAAAGAGTGTTTCAAAACTGCTCTATGGAAAGGAAGGTTCAACTCTGTGAGTTGAATGCAGACATCATAAAGGAGTTTCTGAGAATGCTTCTGTCTTGTTTTAATGTGAAGATATTTCCTTTTCAACCGATAGCCTAAAAGAGCTCCAAATGTCCAACTGCAGATTTTTTAAAAAGAATGTTTCAAAACTGCACTATCAAAAGAAAGGTTCAGCTCTGTGAGTTGAATGCACACATCTCAAAGAAGTTTCTGAGAATGGTTCTGTCTAGTTTTTATGTGAAGGTATTCGCGATTCCAATGAAGTCTTCAAAGCGCTCCAAATATCTAAATGCGGATTCTACAAAAAGAGTGATTCAAAACTGGTCTATGAAAAGGAAGGTTCAGCTCTGTGAGTTGAACGCACACATCACAAAACGTTTCGGACAATGATTCCATTTAGTTTTTAGGTGAAGATATTACCTTTTCAACCACAACCTTCAAAACGCTCCAAATGTCCACTTGCAGATACTACAAGAAGATTGCTTCCAGGCGGCTCTATCAAAAGAAATGTTCAACTATGGGAGTAGAATACACACATCACAAAGTCGTTTCTGAGAATGCTTCTGTCTAGTTTTTATGTGAAGATATTTCCTTTTCTACCAGAGGCCTGAAAGCGCTCCAAACATCCAATTGCAGATTCTACAAAAAGAGTGTTTCAAAACTTCTCTATCAAAAGTAAGGGTCTGCTTTGTGAGTTGAATGTACACATCAAAATGAAGTTTCTGATTATACTTCTGTCTACTTCTTATGGGAAGATATTTCCTTATCCGCAATGGTCCTCAAAGCCCTCGAAATGCCCACTTGAAGATTCTTCGGAAAGACTGTTTCAAAACTGCTCTATCAAAAGAAAGTTTCAACTTTGTGTGTAGAATGCACACATCACAAAGTCGTTTCTGAGAATACTTCTGTCTAGTTTTTATAGGAAGATATTTCCTTTTCTACCATAAGCCCCAAATCACTGCACATATGAACTGGCAGATTCTTTAAAAAGAGTGTTTCAAAACTGCTCTATCAAAACTGTTCTATCAACTCTGTGAGATGAATGGACACATCACAAAGATGTTTCTGAGAATGCTTCTGTCTAGGTTTTAGGTGAAGATATTCTCGTTTCCAAAGAATGCTTCAAAGAGTACTTAAATATCCGCCTGCAGATTCTACAAAAGGAGTGTTTCAAAACTGCTCTAAGAAAAGAAAGGTTCAACCTGGGAGTTGAATGCACACATCACAAAGAAGTTTCTGAGAATGCTTCTGTCTAGTTTTAATGCGAAGATATTCCCTTTTCCATCATAACCTTCAAAGCGCTCCAAATGTCCATTTGCAGATTTTAGAAACAGAGTGTTTCCAGACTGCTCTATCAAAAGAAATTTTCAACTATGGGAGTAGAATGCACACAACACAAATTCGTTTCTGAGAATGCTTCTGTCTAGTTTTTATGTGAAGATATTTCCTTTTCTACCACAGGCATAAATGTGCTCCAAATATCCACTTGCAGATTCTAAACAAAGAGTGTTTCAAAACTGCTGTATCAAAAGGAAGGTTCAATTCTGTGAGTTGAATGCACACATCACAAAGTAGTTTCTGAGAATGCTTCTGCCTAATTTTTAGATTTAAGATATTCCCATTTCCAAAGAAGGCTTCAATTTGCTCCAAATATCCACTTGCAGATTGTACAAAAAGAGGGTTTCAAAACTGCTCTATCAAAAGGAAGGTTCAACTCTGTGAGATGAATGCACACATCACAAAGTGGTTTCCGAGAATGCTTCTTTCTAGTTTTTAGGTGACGATATTCCCGTTTCCAATGTAGCACTCAAAGAGCTCCAAATATCCTCCTGCAGATTGTGCAAAAAGGGTGTTTCAAAACTGCTCTATCAAAAAGAAGCTTCAACTCTGTGAGTTGAATGCACAAATCACAAAGAAGTTTCTGGGAATACTTCTGTCTATTTTTATGTGTCGATACTCCCGTTTCCAAAGAAGGCTTCAAAGCACTCCAAATATCCACCTGCAGATTATAAAGGAAGAGTTTTTCAAAACTGCTCAATCCAAAGGAAGGTTCAGCTCCGTGAGTTCAATGCCCACATCACAAAGAAGTTTCTGAGAATGCTTCTGTCTGGTTTCAAGGGGAAGATATTCCCGTTTCCAACGAAGGCTTCAAAGCGCTCCAAATATCCACTTGCAGAGTCTACAAAAAGACTGTTTCAAAACTGCTCTATAAAAGTAAGGTTGTACTTTGTTAGTGGAATGCACCCATCAAAATGAAGTTTCTGAGAACACTTCTGTCTACTTTTCATGTGAAGATATTTCCTTATCCACAATAGTCCCCAAAGCCCTCAAAATGCCCACTTGAAGATCCCTCAAAAAGACTGTTTCAAAACTGCAGTATCAGAAGGAAATTTCAACTATGTGAGTAGAATGCACACATCACAAAGTAGTTTCTGAGAATGCTTCTGTCTAGTTTTTATATGAAGATATTTCCTTTTCGACCTTAAGCCTCAAAGTGCTGCAATTATGCACTTTCAGATTCTTCAAAAAGAGGGTTTCAAAACTGCTCTGGCAAAAGGAAGTTTCAACGCTGTGAGTTGAATGCACACATCACAAAGAAGTTTCTGAGAATGCTTCTGTCTAATTTTTATGTGAAGATAATCCTGTTTCCCAAGAAGGCTTCAAAGCACCCTAATATCCGCCTCCAGATTCTACAGAAAGAGTGTTTCAAAACTGCTCTATCAAAAGGAAGGTTCAACTCTGTGAGTTGAATGCAGACATCATAAAGGAGTTTCTGAGAATGCTTCTGTCTTGTTTTAATGTGAAGATATTTCCTTTTCAACCGATAGCCTAAAAGAGCTCCAAATGTCCAACTGCAGATTTTTTAAAAAGAATGTTTCAAAACTGCACTATCAAAAGAAAGGTTCAGCTCTGTGAGTTGAATGCACACATCTCAAAGAAGTTTCTGAGAATGGTTCTGTCTAGTTTTTATGTGAAGGTATTCGCGATTCCAATGAAGTCTTCAAAGTGCTCCAAATATCTAAATGCGGATTCTACAAAAAGAGTGATTCAAAACTGGTCTATGAAAAGGAAGGTTCAGCTCTGTGAGTTGAACGCACACATCACAAAACGTTTCGGACAATGCTTCCATTTAGTTTTTAGGTGAAGATATTACTTTTTCAACCACAGCTTTCGAAACGCTCCAAATGTCCACTTGCAGATTATACAAGAAGATTGTTTCCAGGCGGCTCTATCAAAAGAAATGTTCAACTATGGGAGTAGAATACACACATCACAAAGTCGTTTCTGAGAATGCTTCTGTCTAGTTTTTATGTGAAGATATTTCTTTTTCTACCAGAGGCCTGAAAGCGCTCCAAATATCCAATTGCAGATTCTACAAAAAGACTGTTTCAAAACTTCTCTATCAAAAGTAAGGGTGTGCTTTGTGAGTTGAATGTACACATCAAAATGAAGTTTCTGATTATACTTCTGTCTACTTCTTATGGGAAGATATTTCTTTATCCGCAATGGTCCTCAAAGCCCTCGAAATGCCCACTTGAAGATTCTTCGGAAAGACGGTTTCAAAACTGCTCTATCAAAAGAAAGTTTCAACTTTGTGTGTAGAATGCACACATCACAAAGTCGTTTCTGAGAATGCTTCTGTCTAGTTTTTATATGAAGATATTTCCTTTTCTACCATAAGCCTCAAAGCACTGCACATATGAACTGGCAGATTCTTTAAAAAGAGTGTTTCAAAACTGTTCTATCAAAACTGTTCTATCAACTCTGTGAGATGAATGGACACATCACAAAGATGTTTCTGAGAATGATTATGTCTAGGTTTTAGGTGAAGATATTCTCGTTTCCAAAGAATGCTTCAAAGAGTACTTCAATATCCACCTGCAGATTCTACAAAAGGAGTGTTTCAAAACTGCTCTAACAAAAGAAAGGTTCAACCTGGGAGTTGAATGCACACATCACAAAGAAGTTTCTGAGAATGCTTCTGTCTAGTTTTAATGCGAAGATATTCCCTTTTCCATCATAACCTTCAAAGCGCTCCAAATGTCCATTTGCAGATTTTAGAAACAGAGTGTCTCCAGACTGCTCTATCAAAAGAAATTTTCAACTATGGGAGTAGAATGCACACAACACAAATTCGTTTCTGAGAATGCTTCTGTCTAGTTTTTATGTGAAGATATTTCCTTTTCTACCACAGGCATAAATGTGCTCCAAATATCCACTTGCAGATTCTGAAAAAAGAGTGTTTCAAAACTGCTGTATCAAAAGGAAGGTTCAATTCTGTGAGTTGAATGCACACATCACAAAGCAGTTTCTGAGAATGCTTCTGCCTAATTTTTAGTTTTAAGATATTCCCATTTCCAAAGAAGGCTTCAATTTGCTCCAAATATCCACTTGCAGATTGTACAAAAAGAGGGTTTCAAAACTGCTCTATCAACAGGAAGGTTCAACTCTGTGAGATGAATGCACACATCACAAAGTGGTTTCAGAGAATGCTTCTTTCTAGTTTTTAGGTGACGATATTCCCGTTTCCAATGTAGCACTCAAAGAGCTCCAAATATCCTCCTGCAGATTGTGCAAAAAGGGTGTTTCAAAACTGCTCTATCAAAAAGAAGCTTCAACTCTGTCAGTTGAATGCACAAATCACAAAGAAGTTTCTGGGAATACTTCTGTCTATTTTTATGTGACGATACTCCCGTTTCCAAAGAAGGCTTCAAAGCACTCCAAATATCCACCTGCAGATTATAAAGGAAGAGTTTTTCAAAACTGCTCAATCCAAAGGAAGGTTCAGCTCCGTGAGTTCAATGCCCACATCACAAAGAAGTTTCTGAGAATGCTTCTGTCTAGTTTCAAGGGGAAGATATTCCCGTTTCCAACGAAGGCTTCAAAGCGCTCCAAATATCCACTTGCAGAGTCTACAAAAAGACTGTTTCAAAACTGCTCTATAAAAGTAAGGTTGTCCTTTGTTAGTGGAATGCACCCATCAAAATGAAGTTTCTGAGAACACTTCTGTCTACTTTTCATGTGAAGATATTTCCTTATCCACAATAGTCCCCAAAGCCCTCAAAATGCCCACTTGAAGATCCCTCAAAAAGACTGTTTCAAAACTGCAGTATCAGAAGGAAATTTCAACTATGTGAGTAGAATGCACACATCACAAAGTAGTTTCTGAGAATGCTTCTCTCTAGTTTTTATATGAAGATATTTCCTTTTCGACCTTAAGCCTCAAAGTGCTGCAATTATGCACTTTCAGATTCTTCAAAAAGAGGGTTTCAAAACTGCTCTGGCAAAAGGAAGGTTCAACGCTGTGAGTTGAATGCACACATCACAAAGAAGTTTCTGAGAATGCTTCTGTCTAATTTTTATGTGAAGATAATCCTGTTTCCCAAGAAGGCTTCAAAGCACCCTAATATCCGCCTCCAGATTCTACAGAAAGAGTGTTTCAAAAGTGCTCTATCAAAAGGAAGGTTCAACTATGTGAGTAGAATGCAGACATCATAAAGGAGTTTCTGAGAATGCTTCTGTCTAGTTTTTATATGAAGATATTTCCTTTTCGACCTTAAGCCTCAAAGTGCTGCAATTATGCACTTTCAGATCCTTCAAAAAGAATGTTTCAAAACTGCACTATCAAAAGGAAGTTTCAACGCTGTGAGTTGAATGCACACATCACAAAGAAGTTTCTGAGAATAGTTCTGTCTAATTTTTATGTGAAGATAATCCTGTTTCCCAAGAAGGCTTCAAAGCACCCTAATATCCGCCTCCAGATTCTACAGAAAGAGTGTTTCAAAACTGCTCTATGGAAAGGAAGGTTCAACTCTGTGAGTTGAATGCAGACATCATAAAGGAGTTTCTGAGAATGCTTCTGTCTTGTTTTAATGTGAAGATATTTCCTTTTCAACCGATAGCCTAAAAGAGCTCCAAATGTCCAACTGCAGATTTTTTAAAAAGAATGTTTCAAAACTGCACTATCAAAAGAAAGGTTCAGCTCTGTGAGTTGAATGCACACATCTCAAAGAAGTTTCTGAGAATGGTTCTGTCTAGTTTTTATGTGAAGGTATTCGCGATTCCAATGAAGTCTTCAAAGCGCTCCAAATATCTAAATGCGCATTCTACAAAAAGAGTGATTCAAAACTGGTCTATGAAAAGGAAGGTTCAGCTCTGTGAGTTGAACGCACACATCACAAAACGTTTCGGACAATGCTTCCATTTAGTTTTTAGGTGAAGATATTACCTTTTCAACCACAGTCTTCAAAACGCTCCAAATGTCCACTTGCAGATTCTACAAGAAGATTGCTTCCAGGCGGCTCTATCAAAAGAAATGTTCAACTATGGGAGTAGAATACACACATCACAAAGTCGTTTCTGAGAATGCTTCTGTCTAGTTTTTATGTGAAGATATTTCCTTTTCTACCAGAGGCCTGAAAGCGCTCCAAACATCCAATTGCAGATTCTACAAAAAGAGTGTTTCAAAACTTCTCTATCAAAAGTAAGGGTCTGCTTTGTGAGTTGAATGTACACATCAAAATGAAGTTTCTGATTATACTTCTGTCTACTTCTTATGGGAAGATATTTCCTTATCCGCAATGGTCCTCAAAGCCCTCGAAATGCCCACTTGAAGATTCTTCGGAAAGACTGTTTCGAAACTGCTCTATCAAAAGAAAGTTTCAACTTTGTGTGTAGAATGCACACATCACAAAGTCGTTTCTGAGAATGCTTCTGTCTAGTTTTTATAGGAAGATATTTCCTTTTCTACCATAAGCCTCAAAGCACTGCACATATGAACTGGCAGATTCTTTAAAAAGAGTGTTTCAAAACTGCTCTATCAAAACTGTTCTATCAACTCTGTGAGATGAATGGACACATCACAAAGATGTTTCTGAGAATGCTTCTGTCTAGGTTTTAGGTGAAGATATTCTCGTTTCCAAAGAATGCTTCAAAGAGTACTTAAATATCCGCCTGCAGATTCTACAAAAGGAGTGTTTCAAAACTGCTCTAACAAAAGAAAGGTTCAACCTGGGAGTTGAATGCACACATCACAAAGAAGTTTCTGAGAATGCTTCTGTCTAGTTTTAATGCGAAGATATTCCCTTTTCCATCATAACCTTCAAAGCGCTCCAAATGTCCATTTGCAGATTTTAGAAACAGAGTGGTTCCAGACTGCTCTATCAAAAGAAATTTTCAACTATGGGAGTAGAATGCACACAACACAAATTCGTTTCTGAGAATGCTTCTGTCTAGTTTTTATGTGAAGATATTTCCTTTTCTACCACAGGCATAAATGTGCTCCAAATATCCACTTGCAGATTCTGAAAAAAGAGTGTTTCAAAACTGCTGTATCAAAAGGAAGGTTCAATTCTGTGAGTTGAATGCACACATCACAAAGTAGTTTCTGAGAATGCTTCTGCCTAATTTTTAGATTTAAGATATTCCCATTTCCAAAGAAGGCTTCAATTTGCTCCAAATATCCACTTGCAGATTGTACAAAAAGAGGGTTTCAAAACTGCTCTATCAAAAGGAAGGTTCAACTCTGTGAGATGAATGCACACATCACAAAGTGGTTTCAGAGAATGCTTCTTTCTAGTTTTTAGGTGACGATATTCCCGTTTCCAATGTAGCACTCAAAGAGCTCCAAATATCCTCCTGCAGATTGTGCAAAAAGGGTGTTTCAAAACTGCTCTATCAAAAAGAAGCTTCAACTCTGTGAGTTGAATGCACAAATCACAAAGAAGTTTCTGGGAATACTTCTGTCTATTTTTATGTGACGATACTCCCGTTTCCAAAGAAGGCTTCAAAGCACTCCAAATATCCACCTGCAGATTATAAAGGAAGAGTTTTTCAAAACTGCTCAATCCAAAGGAAGGTTCAGATCCGTGAGTTCAATGCCCACATCACAAAGAAGTTTCTGAGAATGCTTCTGTCTAGTTTCAAGGGGAAGATATTCCCGTTTCCAACGAAGGCTTCAAAGCGCTCCAAATATCCACTTGCAGAGTCTACAAAAAGACTGTTTCAAAACTGCTCTATAAAAGTAAGGTTGTACTTTGTTAGTGGAATGCACCCATCAAAATGAAGTTTCTGAGAACACTTCTGTCTACTTTTCATGTGAAGATATTTCCTTATCCACAATAGTCCCCAAAGCCCTCAAAATGCCCACTTGAAGATCCCTCAAAAATACTGTTTCAAAACTGCAGCATCAGAAGGAAATTTCAACTATGTGAGTAGAATGCACACATCACAAAGTAGTTTCTGAGAATGCTTCTGTCTAGTTTTTATATGAAGATATTTCCTTTTCGACCTTAAGCCTCAAAGTGCTGCAATTATGCACTTTCAGATTCTTCAAAAAGAGGGTTTCAAAACTGCTCTGGCAAAAGGAAGTTTCAACGCTGTGAGTTGAATGCACACATCACAAAGAAGTTTCTGAGAATGCTTCTGTCTAATTTTTATGTGAAGATAATCCTGTTTCCCAAGAAGGCTTCAAAGCACCCTAATATCCGCCTCCAGATTCTACAGAAAGAGTGTTTCAAAACTGCTCTATCAAAAGGAAGTTTCAAATCTGTGAGTTGAATGCAGACATCATAAAGGAGTTTCTGAGAATGCTTCTGTCTTGTTTTAATGTGAAGATATTTCCTTTTCAACCGATAGCCTAAAAGAGCTCCAAATATCCAACTGCAGATTTTTTAAAAAGAATGTTTCAAAACTGCACTATCAAAAGAAAGGTTCAACTCTGTGAGTTGAATGCACACATCTCAAAGAAGTTTCTGAGAATGGTTCTGTCTAGTTTTTATGTGAAGGTATTCGCGATTCCAATGAAGTCTTCAAAGCGCTCCAAATATCTAAATGCGGATCCTACAAAAAGAGTGATTCAAAACTGGTCTATGAAAAGGAAGGTTCAGCTCTGTGAGTTGAACGCACACATCACAAAAAGTTTCCGACAATGCTTCCATTTAGTTTTTAGGTGAAGATATTACCTTTTCAACCACAGCCTTCGAAACGCTCCAAATGTCCACTTGCAGATTCTACAAGAAGATTGTTTCCAGGCGGCTCTATCAAAAGAAATGTTCAACTATGGGAGTAGAATACACACATCACAAAGTCGTTTCTGAGAATGCTTCTGTCTAGTTTTTATGTGAAGATATTTCCTTTTCTACCAGAGGCCTGAAAGCGCTCCAAATATCCAATTGCAGATTCTACAAAAAGAGTGTTTCAAAACTTCTCTATCAAAAGTAAGGGTCTGCTTTGTGAGTTGAATGTACACATCAAAATGAAGTTTCTGATTATACTTCTGTCTACTTCTTATGGGAAGATATTTCCTTATCCGCAATGGTCCTCAAAGCCCTCGAAATGCCCACTTGAAGATTCTTCGGAAAGACGGTTTCAAAACTGCTCTATCAAAAGAAAGTTTCAACTTTGTGTGTAGAATGCACACATCACAAAGTCGTTTCTGAGAATGCTTCTGTCTAGTTTTTATATGAAGATATTTCCTTTTCTACCATAAGCCTCAAAGCACTCTACATATGAACTGGCAGATTCTTTAAAAAGAGTGTTTCAAAACTGCTCTATCAAAACTGTTCTATCAACTCTGTGAGATGAATGGACACATCACAAAGATGTTTCTGAGAATGCTTATGTCTAGGTTTTAGGTGAAGATATTCTCGTTTCCAAAGAATGCTTCAAAGAGTACTTAAATATCCGCCTGCAGATTCTACAAAAGGAGTGTTTCAAAACTGCTCTAACAAAAGAAAGGTTCAACCTGGGAGTTGAATGCACACATCACAAAGAAGTTTCTGAGAATGCTTCTGTCTAGTTTTAATGCGAAGATATTCCCTTTTCCATCATAACCTTCAAAGCGCTCCAAATGTCTATTTGCAGATTTTACAAACAGAGTGGTTCCAGACTGCTCTATCAAAAGAAATTTTCAACTATGGGAGTAGAAGGCACACAACACAAATTCGTTTCTGAGAATGCTTCTGTCTAGTTTTTATGTGAAGATATTTCCTTTTCTACCACAGGCATAAATGTGCTCCAAATATCCACTTGCAGATTCTAAACAAAGAGTGTTTCAAAACTGCTGTATCAAAAGGAAGGTTCAATTCTGTGAGTTGAATGCACACATCACAAAGTAGTTTCTGAGAATGCTTCTGCCTAATTTTTAGATTTAAGATATTCCCATTTCCAAAGAAGGCTTCAATTTGCTCCAAATATCCACTTGCAGATTGTACAAAAAGAGGGTTTCAAAACTGCTCTATCAAAAGGAAGGTTCAACTCTGTGAGATGAATGCACACATCACAAAGTGGTTTCAGAGAATGCTTCTTTCTACTTTTCAGGTGACGATATTCCCGTTTCCAATGTAGCACTCAAAGAGCTCCAAATATCCTCCTGCAGATTGTGCAAAAAGGGTGTTTCAAAACTGCTCTATCAAAAAGAAGCTTCAACTCTGTGAGTTGAATGCACAAATCACAAAGAAGTTTCTGGGAATACTTCTGTCTATTTTTATGTGACGATACTCCCGTTTCCAAAGAAGGCTTCAAAGCACTCCAAATATCCACCTGCAGATTATAAAGGAAGAGTTTTTCAAAACTGCTCAATCCGAAGGAAGGTTCAGCTCCGTGAGTTCAATGCCCACATCACAAAGAAGTTTCTGAGAATGCTTCTGTGTGGTTTCAAGGGGAAGATATTCCCGTTTCCAACGAAGGCTTCAAAGCGCTCCAAATATCCGCTTGCAGAGTCTACAAAAAGACTGTTTCAAAACTGCTCTATAAAAGTAAGGTTGTACTTTGTTAGTGGAATGCACCCATCAAAATGAAGTTTCTGAGAACACTTCTGTCTACTTTTCATGTGAAGATATTTCCTTATCCACAATAGTCCCCAAAGCCCTCAAAATGCCCACTTGAAGATCCCTCAAAAAGACTGTTTCAAAACTGCAGTATCAGAAGGAAATTTCAACTATGTGAGTAGAATGCACACATCACAAAGTAGTTTCTGAGAATGCTTCTGTCTAGTTTTTATATGAAGATATTTCCTTTTCGACCTTAAGCCTCAAAGTGCTGCAATTATGCACTTTCAGATTCTTCAAAAAGAGGGTTTCAAAACTGCTCTGGCAAAAGGAAGTTTCAACGCTGTGAGTTGAATGCACACATCACAAAGAAGTTTCTGAGAATGCTTCTGTCTAATTTTTATGTGAAGATAATCCTGTTTCCCAAGAAAGCTTCAAAGCACCCTAATATCCGCCTCCAGATTCTACAGAAAGAGTGTTTCAAAACTGCTCTATGGAAAGGAAGGTTCAACTCTGTGAGTTGAATGCAGACATCATAAAGGAGTTTCTGAGAATGCTTCTGTCTTGTTTTAATGTGAAGATATTTCCTTTTCAACCGATAGCCTAAAAGAGCTCCAAATGTCCAACTGCAGATTTTTTAAAAAGAATGTTTCAAAACTGCACTATCAAAAGAAAGGGTCAGCTCTGTGAGTTGAATGCACACATCTCAAAGAAGTTTCTGAGAATGGTTCTGTCTAGTTTTTATGTGAAGGTATTCGCGATTCCAATGAAGTCTTCAAAGCGCTCCAAATATCTAAATGCGGATTCTACAAAAAGAGTGATTCAAAACTGGTCTATGAAAAGGAAGGTTCAGCTCTGTGAGTTGAACGCACACATCACAAAACGTTTCGGACAATGCTTCCATTTAGTTTTTAGGTGAAGATATTACCTTTTCAACCACAGCATTCGAAACGCTCCAAATGTCCACTGGCAGATTCTACAAGAAGATTGTTTCCAGGCGGCTCTATCAAAAGAAATGTTCAACTATGGGAGTAGAATACACACATCACAAAGTCGTTTCTGAGAATGCTTCTGTCTAGTTTTTATGTGAAGATATTTCCTTTTCTACCAGAGGCCTGAAAGCGCTCCAAACATCCAATTGCAGATTCTACAAAAAGAGTGTTTCAAAACTTCTCTATCAAAAGTAAGGGTCTGCTTTGTGAGTTGAATGTACACATCAAAATGAAGTTTCTGATTATACATCTGTCTACTTCTTATGGGAAGATATTTCCTTATCCGCAATGGTCCTCAAAGCCCTCGAAATGCCCACTTGAAGATTCTTCGGAAAGACGGTTTCAAAACTGCTCTATCAAAAGAAAGTTTCAACTTTGTGTGTAGAATGTACACATCACAAAGTCGTTTCTGAGAATGCTTCTGTCTAGTTTTTATATGAAGATATTTCCTTTTCTACCATAAGCCTCAAAGCACTGCACATATGAACTGGCAGATTCTTTAAAAAGAGTGTTTCAAAACTGCTCTATCAAAACTGTTCTATCAACTCTGTGAGATGAATGGACACATCACAAAGATGTTTCTGAGAATGCTTCTGTCTAGGTTTTAGGTGAAGATATTCTCGTTTCCAAAGAATGCTTCAAAGAGTACTTAAATATCCGCCTGCAGATTCTACAAAAGGAGTGTTTCAAAACTGCTCTAACAAAAGAAAGGTTCAACCTGGGAGTTGAATGCACACATCACAAAGAAGTTTCTGAGAATGCTTCTGTCTAGTTTTAATGCGAAGATATTCCCTTTTCCATCATAACCTTCAAAGCGCTCCAAATGTCCATTTGCAGATTTTAGAAACAGAGTGTTTCCAGACTGCTCTATCAAAAGAAATTTTCAACTATGGGAGTAGAATGCACACAACACAAATTCGTTTCTGAGAATGCTTCTGTCTAATTTTTATGTGAAGATATTTCCTTTTCTACCACAGGCATAAATGTGCTCCAAATATCCACTTGCAGATTCTAAAAAAAGAGTGTTTCAAAACTGCTGTATCAAAAGGAAGTTTCAATTCTGTGAGTTGAATGCACACATCACAAAGTAGTTTCTGAGAATGCTTCTGCCTAATTTTTAGATTTAAGATATTCCCATTTCCAAAGAAGGCTTCAATTTGCTCCAAATATCCACTTGCAGATTGTACAAAAAGAGGGTTTCAAAACTGCTCTATCAAAAGGAAGGTTCAACTCTGTGAGATGAATGCACACATCACAAAGTGGTTTCAGAGAATGCTTCTTTCTAGTTTTCAGGTGACGATATTCCCGTTTCCAATGTAGCACTCAAAGAGCTCCAAATATCCTCCTGCAGATTGTGCAAAAAGGGTGTTTCAAAACTGCTCTATCAAAAAGAAGCTTCAACTCTGTGAGTTGAATGCACAAATCACAAAGAAGTTTCTGGGAATACTTCTGTCTATTTTTATGTGACGATACTCCCGTTTCCAAAAAGGCTTCAAAGCACTCCAAATATCCACCTGCAGATTATAAAGGAAGAGTTTGTCAAAACTGCTCAATCCAAAGGAAGGTTCAGCTCCGTGAGTTCAATGCCCACATCACAAAGAAGTTTCTGAGAATGCTTCTGTGTGGTTTCAAGGGGAAGATATTCCCGTTTCCAACGAAGGCTTCAAAGCGCTCCAAATATCCGCTTGCAGAGTCTACAAAAAGACTGTTTCAAAACTGCTCTATAAAAGTAAGGTTGTACTTTGTTAGTGGAATGCACCCATCAAAATGAAGTTTCTGAGAACACTTCTGTCTACTTTTCATGTGAAGATATTTCCTTATCCACAATAGTCCCCAAAGCCCTCAAAATGCCCACTTGAAGATCCCTCAAAAAGACTGTTTCAAAACTGCAGTATCAGAAGGAAATTTCAACTATGTGAGTAGAATGCACACATCACAAAGTAGTTTCTGAGAATGCTTCTGTCTAGTTTTTATATGAAGATATTTCCTTTTCGACCTTAAGCCTCAAAGTGCTGCAATTATGCACTTTCAGATTCTTCAAAAAGAGGGTTTCAAAACTGCTCTGGCAAAAGGAAGTTTCAACGCTGTGAGTTGAATGCACACATCACAAAGAAGTTTCTGAGAATGCTTCTGTCTAATTTTTATGTGAAGATAATCCTGTTTCCCAAGAAGGCTTCAAAGCACCCTAATATCTGTCTCCAGATTCTACAGAAAGAGTGTTTCAAAACTGCTCTATGGAAAGGAAGGTTCAACTCTGTGAGTTGAATGCAGACATCATAAAGGAGTTTCTGAGAATGCTTCTGTCTTGTTTTAATGTGAAGATATTTCCTTTTCAACCGATAGCCTAAAAGAGCTCCAAATGTCCAACTGCAGATTTTTTAAAAAGAATGTTTCAAAACTGCACTATCAAACGAAAGGTTCAGCTCTGTGAGTTGAATGCACACATCTCAAAGAAGTTTCTGAGAATGGTTCTGTCTAGTTTTTATGTGAAGGTATTCGCGATTCCAATGAAGTCTTCAAAGCGCTCCAAATATCTAAATGCGGATTCTACAAAAAGAGTGATTCAAAACTGGTCTATGAAAAGGAAGGTTCAGCTCTGTGAGTTGAACGCACACATCACAAAAAGTTTCGGACAATGCTTCCATTTAGTTTTTAGGTGAAGATATTACCTTTTCAACCACAGACTTCGAAACGCTCCAAATGTCCACTTGCAGATTCTACAAGAAGATTGTTTCCAGGCGGCTCTATCAAAAGAAATGTTCAACTATGGGAGTAGAATACACACATCACAAAGTCGTTTCTGAGAATGCTTCTGTCTAGTTTTTATGTGAAGATATTTCCTTTTCTACCAGAGGCCTGAAAGCGCTCCAAATATCCAATTGCAGATTCTACAAAAAGACTGTTTCAAAACTTCTCTATCAAAAGTAAGGGTCTGCTTTGTGAGTTGAATGTACACATCAAAATGAAGTTTCTGATTATACTTCTGTCTACTTCTTATGGGAAGATATTTCCTTATCCGCAATGGTCCTCAAAGCCCTCGAAATGCCCACTTGAAGATTCTTCGGAAAGACGGTTTCAAAACTGCTCTATCAAAAGAAAGTTTCAACTTTGTGTGTAGAATGCACACATCACAAAGTCGTTTCTGAGAATGCTTCTGTCTAGTTTTTATATGAAGATATTTCCTTTTCTGCCATAAGCCTCAAAGCACTGCACATATGAACTGGCAGATTCTTTAAAAAGAGTGTTTCAAAACTGCTCTATCAAAACTGTTCTATCAACTCTGTGAGATGAATGGACACATCACAAAGATCTTTCTGAGAATGCTTCTGTCTAGGTTTTAGGTGAAGATATTCTCGTTTCCAAAGAATGCTTCAAAGAGTACTTAAATATCCGCCTGCAGATTCTACAAAAGGAGTGTTTCAAAACTGCTCTAACAAAAGAAAGGTTCAACCTGGGAGTTGAATGCACACATCACAAAGAAGTTTCTGAGAATGCTTCTGTCTAGTTTTAATGCGAAGATATTCCCTTTTCCATCATAACCTTCAAAGCGCTCCAAATGTCCATTTGCAGATTTTAGAAACAGAGTGGTTCCAGACTGCTCTATCAAAAGAAATTTTCAACTATGGGAGTAGAATGCACACAACACAAATTCGTTTCTGAGAATGCTTCTGTCTAGTTTTTATGTGAAGATATTTCCTTTTCTACCACAGGCATAAATGTGCTCCAAATATCCACTTGCAGATTCTAAACAAAGAGTGTTTCAAAACTGCTGTATCAAAAGGAAGGTTCAATTCTGTGAGTTGAATGCACACATCACAAAGTAGTTTCTGAGAATGCTTCTGCCTAATTTTTAGATTTAAGATATTCCCATTTCCAAAGAAGGCTTCTATTTGCTCCAAATATCCACTTGCAGATTGTACAAAAAGAGGGTTTCAAAACTGCTCTATCAAAAGGAAGGTTCAACTCTGTGAGATGAATGCACACATCACAAAGTGGCTTCAGAGAATGCTTCTTTCTAGTTTTCAGGTGACGATATTCCCGTTTCCAATGTAGCACTCAAAGAGCTCCAAATATCCTCCTGCAGATTGTGCAAAAAGGGTGTTTCAAAACTGCTCTATCAAAAAGAAGCTTCAACTCTGTGAGTTGAATGCACAAGTCACAAAGAAATTTCTGGGAATACTTCTGTCTATTTTTATGTGACGATACTCCCGTTTCCAAAGAAGGCTTCAAAGCACTCCAAATATCCACCTGCAGATTATAAAGGAAGAGTTTTTCAAAACTGCTCAATCCAAAGGAAGGTTCAGCTCCGTGAGTTCAATGCCCACATCACAAAGAAGTTTCTGAGAATGCTTCTGTCTGGTTTCAAGGGGAAGATATTCCCGTTTCCAACGAAGGCTTCAAAGCGCTCCAAATATCCGCTTGCAGAGTCTACAAAAAGACTGTTTCAAAACTGCTCTATAAAAGTAAGGTTGTACTTTGTTAGTGGAATGCACCCATCAAAATGAAGTTTCTGAGAACACTTCTGTCTACTTTTCATGTGAAGATATTTCCTTATCCACAATAGTCCCCAAAGCCCTCAAAATGCCCACTTGAAGATCCCTCAAAAAGACTGTTTCAAAACTGCAGTATCAGAAGGAAATTTCAACTATGTGAGTAGAATGCACACATCACAAAGTAGTTTCTGAGAATGCTTCTGTCTAGTTTTTATATGAAGATATTTCCTTTTCGACCTTAAGCCTCAAAGTGCTGCAATTATGCACTTTCAGATTCTTCAAAAAGAGGGTTTCAAAACTGCTCTGGCAAAAGGAAGTTTCAACGCTGTGAGTTGAATGCACACATCACAAAGAAGTTTCTGAGAATGCTTCTGTCTAATTTTTATGTGAAGATAATCCTGTTTCCCAAGAAGGCTTCAAAGCACCCTAATATCCGCCTCCAGATTCTACAGAAAGAGTGTTTCAAAACTGCTCTATCAAAAGGAAGGTTCAACTCTGTGAGTTGAATGCAGACATCATAAAGGAGTTTCTGAGAATGCTTCTGTCTTGTTTTAATGTGAAGATATTTCCTTTTCAACCGATAGCCTAAAAGAGCTCCAAATGTCCAACTGCAGATTTTTTAAAAAGAATGTTTCAACACTGCACTATCAAAAGAAAGGTTCAGCTCTGTGAGTTGAATGCACACATCTCAAAGAAGTTTCTGAGAATGGTTCTGTCTAGTTTTTATGTGAAGGTATTCGCGATTCCAATGAAGTCTTCAAAGCGCTCCAAATATCTAAATGCGGATCCTACAAAAAGAGTGATTCAAAACTGGTCTATGAAAAGGAAGGTTCAGCTCTGTGAGTTGAACACACACATCACAAAAAGTTTCCGACAATGCTTCCATTTAGTTTTTAGGTGAAGATATTACCTTTTCAACCACAGCCTTCGAAACGCTCCAAATGTCCACTTGCAGATTGTACAAGAAGATTGTTTCCAGGCGGCTCTATCAAAAGAAATGTTCAACTATGGGAGTAGAATACACACATCACAAAGTCGTTTCTGAGAATGCTTCTGTCTAGTTTTTATGTGAAGATATTTCCTTTTCTACCAGAGGCCTGAAAGCGCTCCAAATATCCAATTGCAGATTCTACAAAAAGAGTGTTTCAAAACTTCTCTATCAAAAGTAAGGGTCTGCTTTGTGAGTTGAATGTACACATCAAAATGAAGTTTCTGATTATACTTCTGTCTACTTCTTATGGGAAGATATTTCCTTATCCGCAATGGTCCTCAAAGCCCTCGAAATGCCCACTTGAATATTCTTCGGAAAGACGGTTTCAAAACTGCTCTATCAAAAGAAAGTTTCAACTTTGTGTGTAGAATGCACACATCACAAAGTCGTTTCTGAGAATGCTTCTGTCTAGTTTTTATAGGAAGATATTTCCTTTTCTACCATAAGCCTCAAAGCACTGCACATATGAACTGGCAGATTCTTTAAAAAGAGTGTTTCAAAACTGCTCTATCAAAACTGTTCTATCAACTCTGTGAGATGAATGGACACATCACAAAGATCTTTCTGAGAATGCTTCTGTCTAGGTTTTAGGTGAAGATATTCTCGTTTCCAAAGAATGCTTCAAAGAGTACTTAAATATCCGCCTGCAGATTCTACAAAAGGAGTGTTTCAAAACTGCTCTAATAAAAGAAAGGTTCAACCTGGGATTTGAATGCACACATCACAAAGAAGTTTCTGAGAATGCTTCTGTCTAGTTTTAATGCGAAGATATTCCCTTTTCCATCATAACGTTCAAAGCGCTCCAAATGTCCATTTGCAGGTTTTAGAAACAGAGTGGTTCCAGACTGCTCTATCAAAAGAAATTTTCAACTATGGGAGTAGAAGGCACACAACACTAATTCGTTATTGAGAATGCTTCTGTCTAGTTTTTATGTGAAGATATTTCCTTTTCTACCACAGGCATAAATGTGCTCCAAATATCCACTTGCTGATTCTAAAAAAAGAGTGTTTCACAACTGCTGTATCAAAAGGAAGGTTCAATTCTGTGAGTTGAATGCACACATCACAAAGTAGTTTCTGAGAATGCTTCTGCCTAATTTTTAGATTTAAGATATTCCCATTTCCAAAGAAGGCTTCAATTTGCTCCAAATATCCACTTGCAGATTGTACAAAAAGAGGGTTTCAAAACTGCTCTATGAAAAGGAAGGTTCAACTCTGTGAGATGAATGCACACATCACAAAGTGGTTTCAGAGAATGCTTCTTTCTAGTTTTTAGGTGACGATATTCCCGTTTCCAATGTAGCACTCAAAGAGCTCCAAATATCCTCCTGCAGATTGTGCAAAAAGGGTGTTTCAAAACTGCTCTATCAAAAAGAAGCTTCAACTCTGTGAGTTGAATGCACAAATCACAAAGAAGTTTCTGGGAATACTTCTGTCTATTTTTATGTGACGATACTCCCGTTTCCAAAGAAGGCTTCAAAGCACTCCAAATATCCACCTGCAGATTATAAAGGAAGAGTTTTTCAAAACTGCTCAATCCAAAGGAAGGTTCAGCTCCGTGAGTTCAATGCCCACATCACAAAGAAGTTTCTGAGAATGCTTCTGTCTAGTTTCAAGGGGAAGATATTCCCGTTTCCAACGAAGGCTTCAAAGCGCTCCAAATATCCACTTGCAGAGTCTACAAAAAGACCGTTTCAAAACTGCTCTATAAAAGTAAGGTTGTACCTTGTTAGTTGAATGCACCCATCAAAATGAAGTTTCTGAGAACACTTCTGTCTACTTTTCATGTGAAGATATTTCCTTATCCACAATAGTCCCCAAAGCCCTCAAAATGCCCACTTGAAGATCCCTCAAAAAGACTGTTTCAAAACTGCAGTATCAGAAGGAAATTTCAACTATGTGAGTAGAATGCACACATCACAAAGTAGTTTCTGAGAATGCTTCTGTCTAGTTTTTATATGAAGATATTTCCTTTTCGACCTTAAGCCTCAAAGTGCTGCAATTATGCACTTTCAGATTCTTCAAAAAGAGGGTTTCAAAACTGCTCTGGCAAAAGGAAGTTTCAACGCTGTGAGTTGAATGCACACATCACAAAGAAGTTTCTGAGAATGCTTCTGTCTAATTTTTATGTGAAGATAATCCTGTTTCCCAAGAAGGCTTCAAAGCACCCTAATATCCGCCTCCAGATTCTACAGAAAGAGTGTTTCAAAACTGCTCTATGAAAAGGAAGGTTCAACTCTGTGAGTTGAATGCAGACATCATAAAGGAGTTTCTGAGAATGCTTCTGTCTTGTTTTAATGTGAAGATATTTCCTTTTCAACCGATAGCCTAAAAGAGCTCCAAATGTCCAACTGCAGATTTTTTAAAAAGAATGTTTCAAAACTGCACTATCAAAAGAAAGGTTCAACTCTGTGAGTTGAATGCACACATCTCAAAGAAGTTTCTGAGAATGGTTCTGTCTAGTTTTTATGTGAAGGTATTCGCGATTCCAATGAAGTCTTCAAAGCGCTCCAAATATCTAAATGCGGATCCTACAAAAAGAGTGATTCAAAACTGGTCTATGAAAAGGAAGGTTCAGCTCTGTGAGTTGAACGCACACATCACAAAAAGTTTCCGACAATGCTTCCATTTAGTTTTTAGGTGAAGATATTACCTTTTCAACCACAGCCTTCGAAACGCTCCAAATGTCCACTTGCAGATTCTACAAGAAGATTGTTTCCAGGCGGCTCTATCAAAAGAAATGTTCAACTATGGGAGTAGAATACACACATCACAAAGTCGTTTCTGAGAATGCTTCTGTCTAGTTTTTATGTGAAGATATTTCCTTTTCTACCAGAGGCCTGAAAGCGCTCCAAATATCCAATTGCAGATTCTACAGAAAGAGTGTTTCAAAACTTCTCTATCAAAAGTAAGGGTCTGCTTTGTGAGTTGAATGTACACATCAAAATGAAGTTTCTGATTATACTTCTGTCTACTTCTTATGGGAAGATATTTCCTTATCCACAATGGTCCTCAAAGCCCTCGAAATGCCCACTTGAAGATTCTTCGGAAAGACTGTTTCAAAACTGCTCTATCAAAAAAAAGTTTCAACTTTGTGTGTAGAATGCACACATCACAATGTCGTTTCTGAGAATGCTTCTGTCTAGTTTTTATATGAAGATATTTCCTTTTCTACCATAAGCCTCAAAGCACTGCACATATGAACTGGCAGATCCTTTAAAAAGAGTGTTTCAAAACTGCTCTATCAAAACTGTTCTATCAACTCTGTGAGATGAATGGACACATCACAAAGATGTTTCTGAGAATGCTTCTGTCTAGGTTTTAGGTGAAGATATTCTCGTTTCCAAAGAATGCTTCAAAGAGTACTTAAATATCCGCCTGCAGATTCTACAAAAGGAGTGTTTCAAAACTGCTCTAACAAAAGAAAGGTTCAACCTGGGAGTTGAATGCACACATCACAAAGAAGTTTCTGAGAATGCTTCTGTCTAGTTTTAATGCGAAGATATTCCCTTTTCCATCATAACCTTCAAAGCGCTCCAAATGTCCATTTGCAGATTTTAGAAACAGAGTGGTTCCAGACTGCTCTATCAAAAGAAATTTTCAACTATGGGAGTAGAATACACACAACACTAATTCGTTTCTGAGAATGCTTCTGTCTAGTTTTTATGTGAAGATATTTCCTTTTCTACCACAGGCATAAATGTGCTCCAAATATCCACTTGCAGATTCTAAACAAAGAGTGTTTCAAAACTGCTGTATCAAAAGGAAGGTTCAATTCTGTGAGTTGAATGCACACATCACAAAGTAGTTTCTGAGAATGCTTCCGCCTAATTTTTAGATTTAAGATATTCCCATTTCCAAAGAAGGCTTCAATTTGCTCCAAATATCCACTTGCAGAGTGTACAAAAAGAGGGTTTCAAAACTGCTCTATCAAAAGGAAGGTTCAACTCTGTGAGATGAATGCACACATCACAAAGTGGTTTCCGAGAATGCTTCTTTCTAGTTTTTAGGTGACGATATTCCCGTTTCCAATGTAGCACTCAAAGAGCTCCAAATATCCTCCTGCAGATTGTGCAAAAAGGGTGTTTCAAAACTGCTCTATCAAAAAGAAGCTTCAACTCTGTGAGTTGAATGCACAAATCACAAAGAAGTCTCTGAGAATACTTCTGTCTATTTTTATGTGACGATACTCCCGTTTCCAAAGAAGGCTTCAAAGCACTCCAAATATCCACCTGCAGATTATAAAGGAAGAGTTTTTCAAAACTGCTCAATCCAAAGGAAGGTTCAGCTCCGTGAGTTCAATGCCCACATCACAAAGAAGTTTCTGAGAATGCTTCTGTCTGGTTTCAAGGGGAAGATATTCCCGTTTCCAACGAAGGCTTCAAAGCGCTCCAAATACCGACTTGCAGAGTCTACAAAAAGACTGTTTCAAAACTGCTCTATAAAAGTAAGGTTGTACTTTGTTAGTGGAATGCACCCATCAAAATGAAGTTTCTGAGAACACTTCTGTCTACTTTTCATATGAAGATATTTCCTTATCCACAATAGTCCCCAAAGCCCTCAAAATGCCCACTTGAAGATCCCTCAAAAAGACTGTTTCAAAACTGCAGTATCAGAAGGAAATTTCAACTATGTGAGTAGAATGCACACATCACAAAGTAGTTTCTGAGAATGCTTCTGTCTAGTTTTTATATGAAGATATTTCCTTTTCGACCTTAAGCCTCAAAGTGCTGCAATTATGCACTTTCAGATTCTTCAAAAAGAGGGTTTCAAAACTGCTCTGGCAAAAGGAAGTTTCAACGCTGTGAGTTGAATGCACACATCACAAAGAAGTTTCTGAGAATGCTTCTGTCTAATTTTTATGTGAAGATAATCCTGTTTCCCAAGAAGGCTTCAAAGCACCCTAATATCCGCCTCCAGATTCTACAGAAAGAGTGTTTCAAAACTGCTCTATGGAAAGGAAGGTTCAACACTGTGAGTTGAATGCAGACATCATAAAGGAGTTTCTGAGAATGCTTCTGTCTTGTTTTAATGTGAAGATATTTCCTTTTCAACCGATAGCCTAAAAGAGCTCCAAATGTCCAACTGCAGATATTTTAAAAAGAATGTTTCAAAACTGCACTATCAAAAGAAAGGTACAGCTCTGTGAGTTGAATGCACACATCTCAAAGAAGTTTCTGAGAATGGTTCTGTCTAGTTTTTATGTGAAGGTATTCGCGATTCCAATGAAGTCTTCAAAGCGCTCCAAATATCTAAATGCGGATTCTACAAAAAGAGTGATTCAAAACTGGTCTATGAAAAGGAAGGTTCAGCTCTGTGAGTTGAACGCACACATCACAAAAAGTTTCGGACAATGCTTCCATTTAGTTTTTAGGTGAAGATATTACCTTTTCAACCACAGCCTTCGAAACGCTCCAAATGTCCACTTGCAGATTCTACAAGAAGATTGTTTCCAGGCGGCTCTATCAAAAGAAATGTTCAACTATGGGAGTAGAATACACACATCACAAAGTCGTTTCTGAGAATTTTTCTGTCTAGTTTTTATGTGAAGATATTTCCTTTTCTACCAGAGGCCTGAAAGCGCTCCAAATATCCAATTGCAGATTCTACAAAAAGAGTGTTTCAAAACTTCTCTATCAAAAGTAAGGGTCTGCTTTGTGAGTTGAATGTACACATCAAAATGAAGTTTCTGATTATACTTCTGTCTACTTCTTATGGGAAGATATTTCCTTATCCGCAATGGTCCTCAAAGCCCTCGAAATGCCCACTTGAAGATTCTTCGGAAAGACGGTTTCAAAACTGCTCTATCAAAAGAAAGTTTCAACTTTGTGTGTAGAATGCACACATCACAAAGTCGTTTCTGAGAATGCTTCTGTCTAGTTTTTATATGAAGATATTTCCTTTTCTACCATAAGCCTCAAAGCACTGCACATATGAACTGGCAGATTCTTTAAAAAGAGTGTTTCAAAACTGTTCTATCAAAACTGTTCTATCAACTCTGTGAGATGAATGGACACATCACAAAGATGTTTCTGAGAATGCTTATGTCTAGGTTTTAGGTGAAGATATTCTCGTTTCCAAAGAATGCTTCAAAGAGTACTTCAATATCCACCTGCAGATTCTACAAAAGGAGTGTTTCAAAACTGCTCTAACAAAAGAAAGGTTCAACCTGGGAGTTGAATGCACACATCACAAAGAAGTTTCTGAGAATGCTTCTGTCTAGTTTTAATGCGAAGATATTCCCTTTTCCATCATAACCTTCAAAGCGCTCCAAATGTCCATTTGCAGATTTTAGAAACAGAGTGGTTCCAGACTGCTCTATCAAAAGAAATTTTCAACTATGGGAGTAGAATGCACACAACACAAATTCGTTTCTGAGAATGCTTCTGTCTAGTTTTTATGTGAAGATATTTCCTTTTCTACCACAGGCATAAATGTGCTCCAAATATCCACTTGCAGATTCTGAAAAAAGAGTGTTTCAAAACTGCTGTATCAAAAGGAAGGTTCAATTCTGTGAGTTGAATGCACACATCACAAAGTAGTTTCTGAGAATGCTTCTGCCTAATTTTTAGATTTAAGATATTCCCATTTCCAAAGAAGGCTTCAATTTGCTCCAAATATCCACTTGCAGATTGTACAAAAAGAGGGTTTCAAAACTGCTCTATCAAAAGGAAGGTTCAACTCTGTGAGATGAATGCACACATCACAAAGTGGTTTCCGAGAATGCTTCTTTCTAGTTTTTAGGTGACGATATTCCCGTTTCCAATGTAGCACTCAAAGAGCTCCAAATATCCTCCTGCAGATTGTGCAAAAAGGGTGTTTCAAAACTGCTCTATCAAAAAGAAGCTTCAACTCTGTGAGTTGAATGCACAAATCACAAAGAAGTTTCTGGGAATACTTCTGTCTATTTTTATGTGACGATACTCCCGTTTCCAAAGAAGGCTTCAAAGCACTCCAAATATCCACCTGCAGATTATAAAGGAAGAGTTTTTCAAAACTGCTCAATCCAAAGGAAGGTTCAGCTCCGTGAGTTCAATGCCCACATCACAAAGAAGTTTCTGAGAATGCTTCTGTCTGGTTTCAAGGGGAAGATATTCCCGTTTCCAACGAAGGCTTCAAAGCGCTCCAAATATCCACTTGCAGAGTCTACAAAAAGACTGTTTCAAAACTGCTCTATAAAAGTAAGGTTGTACTTTGTTAGTGGAATGCACCCATCAAAATGAAGTTTCTGAGAACACTTCTGTCTACTTTTCATGTGAAGATATTTCCTTATCCACAATAGTCCCCAAAGCCCTCAAAATGCCCACTTGAAGATCCCTCAAAAAGACTGTTTCAAAACTGCAGTATCAGAAGGAAATTTCAACTATGTGAGTAGAATGCACACATCACAAAGTAGTTTCTGAGAATGCTTCTGTCTAGTTTTTATATGAAGATATTTCCTTTTCGACCTTAAGCCTCAAAGTGCTGCAATTATGCACTTTCAGATTCTTCAAAAAGAGGGTTTCAAAACTGCTCTGGCAAAAGGAAGTTTCAACGCTGTGAGTTGAATGCACACATCACAAAGAAGTTTCTGAGAATGCTTCTGTCTAATTTTTATGTGAAGATAATCCTGTTTCCCAAGAAGGCTTCAAAGCACCCTAATATCCGCCTCCAGATTCTACAGAAAGAGTGTTTCAAAACTGCTCTATGGAAAGGAAGGTTCAACTCTGTGAGTTGAATGCAGACATCATAAAGGAGTTTCTGAGAATGCTTCTGTCTTGTTTTAATGTGAAGATATTTCCTTTTCAACCGATAGCCTAAAAGAGCTCCAAATGTCCAACTGCAGATTTTTTAAAAAGAATGTTTCAAAACTGCACTATCAAAAGAAAGGTTCAGCTCTGTGAGTTGAATGCACACATCTCAAAGAAGTTTCTGAGAATGGTTCTGTCTAGTTTTTATGTGAAGGTATTCGCGATTCCAATGAAGTCTTCAAAGCGCTCCAAATATCTAAATGCGGATTCTACAAAAAGAGTGATTCAAAACTGGTCTATGAAAAGGAAGGTTCAGCTCTGTGAGTTGAACGCACACATCACAAAAAGTTTCGGAGAATGCTTCCATTTAGTTTTTAGGTGAAGATATTACCTTTTCAACCACAGCCTTCAAAACGCTCCAAATGTCCACTTGCAGATTCTACAAGAAGATTGTTTCCAGGCGGCTCTATCAAAAGAAATGTTCAACTATGGGAGTAGAATACACACATCACAAAGTCGTTTCTGAGAATGCTTCTGTCTAGTTTTTATGTGAAGATATTTCCTTTTCTACCAGAGGCCTGAAAGCGCTCCAAACATCCAATTGCAGATTCTACAAAAAGAGTGTCTCAAAACTTCTCTATCAAAAGTAAGGGTCTGCTTTGTGAGTTGAATGTACACATCGAAATGAAGTTTCTGATTATACTTCTGTCTACTTCTTATGGGAAGATATTTCCTTATCCGCAATGGTCCTCAAAGCTCTCGAAATGCCCACTTGAAGATTCTTCGGAAAGACGGTTTCAAAACTGCTCTATCAAAAGAAAGTTTCAACTTTGTGTGTAGAATGCACACATCACAAAGTCGTTTCTGAGAATGCTTCTGTCTAGTTTTTATAGGAAGATATTTCCTTTTCTACCATAAGCCTCAAAGCACTGCACATATGAACTGGCAGATTCTTTAAAAAGAGTGTTTCAAAACTGCTCTATCAAAACTGTTCTACCAACTCTCTGAGATGAATGGACACATCACAAAGATGTTTCTGAGAATGCTTCTGTCTAGGTTTTAGGTGAAGATATTCTCGTTTCCAAAGAATGCTTCAAAGAGTACTTAAATATCCGCCTGCAGATTCTACAAAAGGAGTGTTTCAAAACTGCTCTAACAAAAGAAAGGTTCAACCTGGGAGTTGAATGCACACATCACAAAGAAGTTTCTGAGAATGCTTCTGTCTAGTTTTAATGCGAAGATATTCCCTTTTCCATCATAACCTTCAAAGCGCTCCAAATGTCCATTTGCAGATTTTAGAAACAGAGTGGTTCCAGACTGCTCTATCAAAAGAAATTTTCAACTATGGGAGTAGAATGCACACAACACAAATTCGTTTCTGAGAATGCTTCTGTCTAGTTTTTATGTGAAGATATTTCCTTTTCTACCACAGGCATAAATGTGCTCCAAATATCCACTTGCAGATTCTAAACAAAGAGTGTTTCAAAACTGCTGTATCAAAAGGAAGGTTCAATTCTGTGAGTTGATTGCACACATCACAAAGTAGTTTCTGAGAATGCTTCTGCCTAATTTTTAGATTTAAGATATTCCCATTTCCAAAGAAGGCTTCAATTTGCTCCAAATATCCACTTGCATATTGTACAAAAAGAGGGTTTCAAAACTGCTCTATCAAAAGGAAGGTTCAACTCTGTGAGATGAATGCACACATCACAAAGTGGTTTCAGAGAATGCTTCTTTCTAGTTTTCAGGTGACGATATTCCCGTTTCCAATGTAGCACTCAAAGAGCTCCAAATATCCTCCTGCAGATTGTGCAAAAAGGGTGTTTCAAAACTGCTCTATCAAAAAGAAGCTTCAACTCTGTGAGTTGAATGCACAAATCACAAAGAAGTTTCTGGGAATACTTCTGTCTATTTTTATGTGACGATACTCCCGTTTCCAAAGAAGGCTTCAAAGCACTCCAAATATCCACCTGCAGATTATAAAGGAAGAGTTTTTCAAAACTGCTCAATCCAAAGGAAGGTTCAGCTCCGTGAGTTCAATGCCCACATCACAAAGAAGTTTCTGAGAATGCTTCTGTGTGGTTTCAAGGGGAAGATATTCCCGTTTCCAACGAAGGCTTCAAAGCGCTCCAAATATCCGCTTGCAGAGTCTACAAAAAGACTGTTTCAAAACTGCTCTATAAAAGTAAGGTTGTACTTTGTTAGTTGAAAGCACCCATCAAAATGAAGTTTCTGAGAACACTTCTGTCTACTTTTCATGTGAAGATATTTCCTTATCCACAATAGTCCCCAAAGCCCTCAAAATGCCCACTTGAAGATCCCTCAAAAAGACTGTTTCAAAACTGCAGTATCAGAAGCAAATTTCAACTATATGAGCAGAATGCACACATCACAAAGTAGTTTCTGAGAATGCTTCTGTCTAGTTTTTATATGAAGATATTTCCTTTTCGACCTTAAGCCTCAAAGTGCTGCAATTATGCACTTTCAGATTCTTCAAAAAGAGGGTTTCAAAACTGCTCTGGCAAAAGGAAGTTTCAACGCTGTGAGTTGAATGCACACATCACAAAGAAGTTTCTGAGAATGCTTCTGTCTAATTTTTATGTGAAGATAATCCTGTTTCCCAAGAAGGCTTCAAAGCACCCTAATATCTGTCTCCAGATTCTACAGAAAGAGTGTTTCAAAACTGCTCTATGGAAAGGAAGGTTCAACTCTGTGAGTTGAATGCAGACATCATAAAGGAGTTTCTGAGAATGCTTCTGTCTTGTTTTAATGTGAAGATATTTCCTTTTCAACCGATAGCCTAAAAGAGCTCCAAATGTCCAACTGCAGATTTTTTAAAAAGAATGTTTCAAAACTGCACTATCAAAAGAAAGGTTCAGCTCTGTGAGTTGAATGCACACATCTCAAAGAAGTTTCTGAGAATGGTTCTGTCTAGTTTTTATGTGAAGGTATTCGCGATTCCAATGAAGTCTTCAAAGCGCTCCAAATATCTAAATGCGGATTCTACAAAAAGAGTGATTCAAAACTGGTCTATGAAAAGGAAGGTTCAGCTCTGTGAGTTGAACGCACACATCACAAAAAGTTTCGGACAATGCTTCCATTTAGTTTTTAGGTGAAGATATTACCTTTTCAACAACAGCCTTCGAAACGCTCCAAATGTCCACTTGCAGATTCTACAAGAAGATTGTTTCCAGGCGGCTCTATCAAAAGAAATGTTCAACTATGGGAGTAGAATACACACATCACAAAGTCGTTTCTGAGAATGCTTCTGTCTAGTTTTTATGTGAAGATATTTCCTTTTCTACCAGAGGCCTGAAAGCGCTCCAAATATCCAATTGCAGATTCTACAAAAAGACTGTTTCAAAACTTCTCTATCAAAAGTAAGGGTCTGCTTTGTGAGTTGAATGTACACATCAAAATGAAGTTTCTGATTATACTTCTGTCTACTTCTTATGGGAAGATATTTCCTTATCCGCAATGGTCCTCAATGCCCTCGAAATGCCCACTTGAAGATTCTTCGGAAAGACTGTTTCAAAACTGCTCTATCAAAAGAAAGTTTCAACTTTGTGTGTAGAATGCACACATCACAAAGTCGTTTCTGAGAATGCTTCTGTCTAGTTTTTATATGAAGATATTTCCTTTTCTACCATAAGCCCCAAAGCACTGCACATATGAACTGGCAGATTCTTTAAAAAGAGTGTTTCAAAACTGCTCTATCAAAACTGTTCTATCAACTCTGTGAGATGAATGGACACATCACAAAGATCTTTCTGAGAATGCTTCTGTCTAGGTTTTAGGTGAAGATATTCTCGTTTCCAAAGAATGCTTCAAAGAGTACTTAAATATCCGCCTGCAGATTCTACAAAAGGAGTGTTTCAAAACTGCTCTAACAAAAGAAAGGTTCAACCTGGGAGTTGAATGCACACATCACAAAGAAGTTTCTGAGAATGCTTCTGTCTAGTTTTAATGCGAAGATATTCCCTTTTCCATCATAACCTTCAAAGCGCTCCAAATGTCCATTTGCAGATTTTAGAAACAGAGTGGTTCCAGACTGCTCTATCAAAAGAAATTTTCAACTATGGGAGTAGAATGCACACAACACAAATTCGTTTCTGAGAATGCTTCTGTCTAGTTTTTATGTGAAGATATTTCCTTTTCTACCACAGGCATAAATGTGCTCCAAATATCCACTTGCAGATTCTAAACAAAGAGTGTTTCAAAACTGCTGTATCAAAAGGAAGGTTCAATTCTGTGAGTTGAATGCACACATCACAAAGTAGTTTCTGAGAATGCTTCTGCCTAATTTTTAGATTTAAGATATTCCCATTTCCAAAGAAGGCTTCAATTTGCTCCAAATATCCACTTGCAGATTGTACAAAAAGAGGGTTTCAAAACTGCTCTATCAAAAGGAAGGTTCAACTCTGTGAGATGAATGCACACATCACAAAGTGGTTTCAGAGAATGCTTCTTTCTAGTTTTTAGGTGACGATATTCCCGTTTCCAATGTAGCACTCAAAGAGCTCCAAATATCCTCCTGCAGATTGTGCAAAAAGGGTGTTTCAAAACTGCTCTATCAAAAAGAAGCTTCAACTCTGTGAGTTGAATGCACAAATCACAAAGAAGTTTCTGGGAATACTTCTGTCTATTTTTATGTGACGATACTCCCGTTTCCAAAGAAGGCTTCAAAGCACTCCAAATATCCACCTGCAGATTATAAAGGAAGAGTTTTTCAAAACTGCTCAATCCAAAGGAAGGTTCAGCTCCGTGAGTTCAATGCCCACATCACAAAGAAGTTTCTGAGAATGCTTCTGTCTAGTTTCAATGGGAAGATATTCCCGTTTCCAACGAAGGCTTCAAAGCGCTCCAAATATCCACTTGCAGTGTCTACAAAAAGACCGTTTCAAAACTGCTCTATAAAATAAGGTTGTACTTTGTTAGTTGAATGCACCCATCAAAATGAAGTTTCTGAGAACACTTCTGTCTACTTTTCATGTGAAGATATTTCCTTATCCACAATAGTCCCCAAAGCCCTCAAAATGCCCACTTGAAGATCCCTCAAAAAGACTGCTTCAAAACTGCAGTATCAGAAGGAAATTTCAACTATGTGAGTAGAATGCACACATCACAAAGTAGTTTCTGAGAATGCTTCTGTCTAGTTTTTATATGAAGATATTTCCTTTTCGACCTTAAGCCTCAAAGTGCTGCAATTATGCACTTTCAGATTCTTCAAAAAGAGGGTTTCAAAACTGCTCTGGCAAAAGGAAGTTTCAACGCTGTGAGTTGAATGCACACATCACAAAGAAGTTTCTGAGAATGCTTCTGTCTAATTTTTATGTGAAGATAATCCTGTTTCCCAAGAAGGCTTCAAAGCACCCTAATATCCGCCTCCAGATTCTACAGAAAGAGTGTTTCAAAACTGCTCTATCAAAAGGAAGGTTCAACTCTGTGAGTTGAATGCAGACATCATAAAGGAGTTTCTGAGAATGCTTCTGTCTTGTTTTAATGTGAAGATATTTCCTTTTCAACCGATAGCCTAAAAGAGCTCCAAATGTCCAACTGCAGATTTTTTAAAAAGAATGTTTCAAAACTGCACTATCAAAAGAAAGGTTCAGCTCTGTGAGTTGAATGCACACATCTCAAAGAAGTTTCTGAGAATGGTTCTGTCTAGTTTTTATGTGAAGGTATTCGCGATTCCAATGAAGTCTTCAAAGCGCTCCAAATATCTAAATGCGGATACTACAAAAAGAGTGATTCAAAACTGGTCTATGAAAAGGAAGGTTCAGCTCTTTGAGTTGAACGCACACATCACAAAAAGTTTCGGACAATGCTTCCATTTAGTTTTTAGGTGAAGATATTACCTTTTCAACCACAGCCTTCGAAACGCTCCAAATGTCCACTTGCAGATTCTACAAGAAGATTGTTTCCAGGCGGCTCTATCAAAAGAAATGTTCAACTATGGGAGTAGAATACACACATCACAAAGTCGTTTCTGAGAATGCTTCTGTCTAGTTTTTATGTGAAGATATTTCCTTTTCTACCAGAGGCCTGAAAGCGCTCCAAACATCCAATTGCAGATTCTACAAAAAGAGTGTTTCAAAACTTCTCTATCAAAAGTAAGGGTCTGCTTTGTGAGTTGAATGTACACATCAAAATGAAGTTTCTGATTATACTTCTGTCTACTTCTTATGGGAAGATATTTCCTTATCCGCAATGGTCCTCAAAGCCCTCGAAATGCCCACTTGAAGATTCTTCGGAAAGACGGTTTCAAAACTGCTCTATCAAAAGAAAGTTTCAACTATGTGTGTAGAATGCACACATCACAAAGTCGTTTCTGAGAATGCTTCTGTCTAGTTTTTATAGGAAGATATTTCCTTTTCTACCATAAGCCTCAAAGCACTGCACATATGAACTGGCAGATTCTTTAAAAAGAGTGTTTCAAAACTGCTCTATCAAAACTGTTCTACCAACTCTGTGAGATGAATGGACACATCACAAAGATGTTTCTGAGAATGCTTCTGTCTAGGTTTTAGGTGAAGATATTCTCGTTTCCAAAGAATGCTTCAAAGAGTACTTAAATATCCGCCTGCAGATTCTACAAAAGGAGTGTTTAAAAACTGCTCTAACAAAAGAAAGGTTCAACCTGGGTGTTGAATGCACACATCACAAAGAAGTTTCTGAGAATGCTTCTGTCTAGTTTTAATGCGAAGATATTCCCTTTTCCATCATAAACTTCAAAGCGCTCCAAATGTCCATTTGCAGATTTTAGAAACAGAGTGTCTCCAGACTGCTCTATCAAAAGAAATTTTCAACTATGGGAGTAGAATGCACACAACACAAATTCGTTTCTGAGAATGCTTCTGTCTAGTTTTTATGTGAAGATATTTCCTTTTCTACCACAGGCATAAATGTGCTCCAAATATCCACTTGCAGATTCTAAACAAAGAGTGTTTCAAAACTGCTGTATGAAAAGGAAGGTTCAATTCTGTGAGTTGAATGCACACATCACAAAGCAGTTTCTGAGAATGCTTCTGCCTAATTTTTAGTTTTAAGATATTCCCATTTCCAAAGAAGGCTTCAATTTGCTCCAAATATCCACTTGCAGATTGTACAAAAAGAGGGTTTCAAAACTGGTCTATCAAAAGGAAGGTTCAACTCTGTGAGATGAATGCACACATCACAAAGTGGTTTCAGAGAATGCTTCTTTCTAGTTTTTAGGTGACGATATTCCCGTTTCCAATGTAGCACTCAAAGAGCTCCAAATATCCTCCTGCAGATTGTGCAAAAAGGGTGTTTCAAAACTGCTCTATCAAAAAGAAGCTTCAACTCTGTGAGTTGAATGCACAAATCACAAAGAAGTTTCTGGGAATACTTCTGTCTATATTTATGTGACGATACTCCCGTTTCCAAAGAAGGCTTCAAAGCACTCCAAATATCCACCTGCAGATTATAAAGGAAGAGTTTTTCAAAACTGCTCAATCCAAAGGAAGGTTCAGCTCCGTGAGTTCAATGCCCACATCACAAAGAAGTTTCTGAGAATGCTTCTGTCTAGTTTCAAGGGGAAGATATTCCCGTTTCCAACGAAGGCTTCAAAGCGCTCCAAATATCCACTTGCAGAGTCTACAAAAAGACTGTGTTAAAACTGCTCTATAAAAGTAAGGTTGTACTTTGTTAGTGGAATGCACCCATCAAAATGAAGTTTCTGAGAACACTTCTGTCTACTTTTCATGTGAAGATATTTCCTTATCCACAATAGTCCCCAAAGCCCTCAAAATGCCCACTTGAAGATCCCTCAAAAAGACTGTTTCAAAACTGCAGTATCAGAAGGAAATTTCAACTATGTGAGTAGAATGCACACATCACAAAGTAGTTTCTGAGAATGCTTCTGTCTAGTTTTTATATGAAGATATTTCCTTTTCGACCTTAAGCCTCAAAGTGCTGCAATTATGCACTTTCAGATTCTTCAAAAAGAGGGTTTCAAAACTGCTCTGGCAAAAGGAAGTTTCAACGCTGTGAGTTGAATGCACACATCACAAAGAAGTTTCTGAGAATGCTTCTGTCTAATTTTTATGTGAAGATAATCCTGTTTCCCAAGAAGGCTTCAAAGCACCCTAATATCCGCCTCCAGATTCTACAGAAAGAGTGTTTCAAAACTGCTCTATGGAAAGGAAGGTTCAACTCTGTGAGTTGAATGCAGACATCATAAAGGAGTTTCTGAGAATGCTTCTGCCTTGTTTTAATGTGAAGATATTTCCTTTTCAACCGATAGCCTAAAAGAGCTCCAAATGTCCAACTGCAGATTTTTTAAAAAGAATGTTTCAAAACTGCACTATCAAAAGAAAGGTTAAGCTCTGTGAGTTGAATGCACACATCTCAAAGAAGTTTCTGAGAATGGTTCTGTCTAGTTTTTATGTGAAGGTATTCGCGATTCCAATGAAGTCTTCAAAGCGCTCCAAATATCTAAATGCGGATTCTACAAAAAGAGTGATTCAAAACTGGTCTATGAAAAGGAAGGTTCAGCTCTGTGAGTTGAACGCACACATCACAAAAAGTTTCCGACAATGCTTCCATTTAGTTTTTAGGTGAAGATATTACCTTTACAACCACAGCCTTCGAAACGCTCCAAATCTCCACTTGCAGATTCTACAAGAAGATTGTTTCCAGGCGGCTCTATCAAAAGAAATGTTCAACTATGGGAGTAGAATACACACATCACAAAGTCGTTTCTGAGAATACTTCTGTCTAGTTTTTATGTGAAGATATTTCCTTTTCTACCAGAGGCCTGAAAGCGCTCCAAACATCCAATTGCAGATTCTACAAAAAGAGTGTTTCAAAACTTCTCTATCAAAAGTAAGGGTCTGCTTTGTGAGTTGAATGTACACATCAAAATGAAGTTTCTGATTATACTTCTGTCTACTTCTTATGGGAAGATATTTCCTTATCCGCAATGGTCCTCAAAGCCCTCGAAATGCCCACTTGAAGATTCTTCGGAAAGACGGTTTCAAAACTGCTCTATCAAAAGAAAGTTTCAACTTTGTGTGTAGAATGCACACATCACAAAGTCGTTTCTGAGAATGCTTCTGTCTAGTTTTTATATGAAGATATTTCCTTTTCTGCCATAAGCCTCAAAGCACTGCACATATGAACTGGCAGATTCTTTAAAAAGAGTGTTTCAAAACTGCTCTATCAAAACTGTTCTATCAACTCTGTGAGATGAATGGACACATCACAAGGATGTTTCTGAGAATGCTTCTGTCTAGGTTTTAGGTGAAGATATTCTCGTTTCCAAAGAATGCTTCAAAGAGTACTTAAATATCCGCCTGCGGATTCTACAAAAGGAGTGTTTCAAAACTGCTCTAACAAAAGAAAAGTTCAACCTGGGAGTTGAATGCACACATCACAAAGAAGTTTCTGAGAATGCTTCTGTCTAGTTTTAATGCGAAGATATTCCCTTTTCCATCATAACCTTCAAAGCGCTCCAAATGTCCATTTGCAGATTTTAGAAACAGAGTGGTTCCAGACTGCTCTATCAAAAGAAATTTTCAACTATGGGAGTAGAATACACACAACACTAATTCGTTTCTGAGAATGCTTCTGTCTAGTTTTTATGTGAAGATATTTCCTTTTCTACCACAGGCATAAATGTGCTCCAAATATCCACTTGCAGATTCTAAACAAAGAGTGTTTCAAAACTGCTGTATCAAAAGGAAGGTTCAATTCTGTGAGTTGAATGCACACATCACAAAGTAGTTTCTGAGAATGCTTCTGCCTAATTTTTAGATTTAAGATATTCCCATTTCCAAAGAAGGCTTCAATTTGCTCCAAATATCCACTTGCAGAGTGTACAAAAAGAGGGTTTCAAAACTGCTCTATCAAAAGGAAGGTTCAACTCTGTGAGATGAATGCACACATCACAAAGTGGTTTCCGAGAATGCTTCTTTCTAGTTTTTAGGTGACGATATTCCCGTTTCCAATGTAGCACTCAAAGAGCTCCAAATATCCTCCTGCAGATTGTGCAAAAAGGGTGTTTCAAAACTGCTCTATCAAAAAGAAGCTTCAACTCTGTGAGTTGAATGCACAAATCACAAAGAAGTCTCTGAGAATACTTCTGTCTATTTTTATGTGACGATACTCCCGTTTCCAAAGAAGGCTTCAAAGCACTCCAAATATCCACCTGCAGATTATAAAGGAAGAGTTTTTCAAAACTGCTCAATCCAAAGGAAGGTTCAGCTCCGTGAGTTCAATGCCCACATCACAAAGAAGTTTCTGAGAATGCTTCTGTCTGGTTTCAAGGGGAAGATATTCCCGTTTCCAACGAAGGCTTCAAAGCGCTCCAAATACCGACTTGCAGAGTCTACAAAAAGACTGTTTCAAAACTGCTCTATAAAAGTAAGGTTGTACTTTGTTAGTGGAATGCACCCATCAAAATGAAGTTTCTGAGAACACTTCTGTCTACTTTTCATATGAAGATATTTCCTTATCCACAATAGTCCCCAAAGCCCTCAAAATGCCCACTTGAAGATCCCTCAAAAAGACTGTTTCAAAACTGCAGTATCAGAAGGAAATTTCAACTATGTGAGTAGAATGCACACATCACAAAGTAGTTTCTGAGAATGCTTCTGTCTAGTTTTTATATGAAGATATTTCCTTTTCGACCTTAAGCCTCAAAGTGCTGCAATTATGCACTTTCAGATTCTTCAAAAAGAGGGTTTCAAAACTGCTCTGGCAAAAGGAAGTTTCAACGCTGTGAGTTGAATGCACACATCACAAAGAAGTTTCTGAGAATGCTTCTGTCTAATTTTTATGTGAAGATAATCCTGTTTCCCAAGAAGGCTTCAAAGCACCCTAATATCCGCCTCCAGATTCTACAGAAAGAGTGTTTCAAAACTGCTCTATGGAAAGGAAGGTTCAACTCTGTGAGTTGAATGCAGACATCATAAAGGAGTTTCTGAGAATGCTTCTGTCTTGTTTTAATGTGAAGATATTTCCTTTTCAACCGATAGCCTAAAAGAGCTCCAAATGTCCAACTGCAGATTTTTTAAAAAGAATGTTTCAAAACTGCACTATCAAAAGAAAGGTTCAGCTCTGTGAGTTGAATGCACACATCTCAAAGAAGTTTCTGAGAATGGTTCTGTCTAGTTTTTATGTGAAGGTATTCGCGATTCCAATGAAGTCTTCAAAGCGCTCCAAATATCTAAATGCGGATTCTACAAAAAGAGTGATTCAAAACTGGTCTATGAAAAGGAAGGTTCAGCTCTGTGAGTTGAACGCACACATCACAAAAAGTTTCCGACAATGCTTCCATTTAGTTTTTAGGTGAAGATATTACCTTTACAACCACAGCCTTCGAAACGCTCCAAATGTCCACTTGCAGATTCTACAAGAAGATTGTTTCCAGGCGGCTCTATCAAAAGAAATGTTCAACTATGGGAGTAGAATACACACATCACAAAGTCGTTTCTGAGAATGCTTCTGTCTAGTTTTTATGTGAAGATATTTCCTTTTCTACCAGAGGCCTGAAAGCGCTCCAAACATCCAATTGCAGATTCTACAAAAAGAGTGTTTCAAAACTTCTCTATCAAAAGTAAGGGTCTGCTTTGTGAGTTGAATGTACACATCAAAATGAAGTTTCTGATTATACTTCTGTCTACTTCTTATGGGAAGATATTTCCTTATCCGCAATGGTCCTCAAAGCCCTCGAAATGCCCACTTGAAGATTCTTCGGAAAGACGGTTTCAAAACTGCTCTATCAAAAGAAAGTTTCAACTTTGTGTGTAGAATGCACACATCACAAAGTCGTTTCTGAGAATGCTTCTGTCTAGTTTTTATAGGAAGATATTTCCTTTTCTACCATAAGCCTCAAAGCACTGCACATATGAACTGGCAGATTCTTTAAAAAGAGTGTTTCAAAACTGCTCTATCAAAACTGTTCTATCAACTCTGTGAGATGAATGGACACATCACAAAGATGTTTCTGAGAATGCTTCTGTCTAGGTTTTAGGTGAAGATATTCTCGTTTCCAAAGAATGCTTCAAAGAGTACTTCAATATCCGCCTGCAGATTCTACAAAAGGAGTGTTTCAAAACTGCTCTAACAAAAGAAAGGTTCAACCTGGGAGTTGAATGCACACATCACAAAGAAGTTTCTGAGAATGCTTCTGTCTAGTTTTAATGCGAAGATATTCCCTTTTCCATCATAACCTTCAAAGCGCTCCAAATGTCCATTTGCAGATTTTAGAAACAGAGTGTCTCCAGACTGCTCTATCAAAAGAAATTTTCAACTATGGGAGTAGAATGCACACAACACAAATTCGTTTCTGAGAATGCTTCTGTCTAGTTTTTATGTGAAGATATTTCCTTTTCTACCACAGGCATAAATGTGCTCCAAATATCCACTTGCAGATTCTAAACAAAGAGTGTTTCAAAACTGCTGTATGAAAAGGAAGGTTCAATTCTGTGAGTTGAATGCACACATCACAAAGCAGTTTCTGAGAATGCTTCTGCCTAATTTTTAGTTTTAAGATATTCCCATTTCCAAAGAAGGCTTCAATTTGCTCCAAATATCCACTTGCAGATTGTACAAAAAGAGGGTTTCAAAACTGCTCTATCAAAAGGAAGGTTCAACTCTGTGAGATGAATGCACACATCACAAAGTGGTTTCAGAGAATGCTTCTTTCTAGTTTTCAGGTGACGATATTCCCGTTTCCAATGTAGCACTCAAAGAGCTCCAAATATCCTCCTGCAGATTGTGCAAAAAGGGTGTTTCAAAACTGCTCTATCAAAAAGAAGCTTCAACTCTGTGAGTTGAATGCACAAATCACAAAGAAGTTTCTGGGAATACTTCTGTCTATTTTTATGTGACGATACTCCCGTTTCCAAAGAAGGCTTCAAAGCACTCCAAATATCCACCTGCAGATTATAAAGGAAGAGTTTTTCAAAACTGCTCAATCCAAAGGAAGGTTCAGCTCCGTGAATTCAATGCCCACATCACAAAGAAGTTTCTGAGAATGCTTCTGTCTAGTTTCAAGGGGAAGATATTCCCGTTTCCAACGAAGGCTTCAAAGCGCTCCAAATATCCACTTGCAGAGTCTACAAAAAGACTGTTTCAAAACTGCTCTATAAAAGTAAGGTTGTACTTTGTTAGTGGAATGCACCCATCAAAATGAAGTTTCTGAGAACACTTCTGTCTACTTTTCATGTGAAGATATTTCCTTATCCACAATAGTCCCCAAAGCCCTCAAAATGCCCACTTGAAGATCCCTCAAAAAGACTGTTTCAAAACTGCAGTATCAGAAGGAAATTTCAACTATGTGAGTAGAATGCACACATCACAAAGTAGTTTCTGAGAATGCTTCTGTCTAGTTTTTATATGAAGATATTTCCTTTTCGACCTTAAGCCTCAAAGTGCTGCAATTATGCACTTTCAGATTCTTCAAAAAGAGGGTTTCAAAACTGCTCTGGCAAAAGGAAGTTTCAACGCTGTGAGTTGAATGCACACATCACAAAGAAGTTTCTGAGAATGCTTCTGTCTAATTTTTATGTGAAGATAATCCTGTTTCCCAAGAAGGCTTCAAAGCACCCTAATATCCGCCTCCAGATTCTACAGAAAGAGTGTTTCAAAACTGCTCTATCAAAAGGAAGGTTCAACTCTGTGAGTTGAATGCAGACATCATAAAGGAGTTTCTGAGAATGCTTCTGTCTTGTTTTAATGTGAAGATATTTCCTTTTCAACCGATAGTCTAAAAGAGCTCCAAATGTCCAACTGCAGATTTTTTAAAAAGAATGTTTCAAAACTGCACTATCAAAAGAAAGGTTCAGCTCTGTGAGTTGAATGCACACATCTCAAAGAAGTTTCTGAGAATGGTTCTGTCTAGTTTTTATGTGAAGGTATTCGCGATTCCAATGAAGACTTCAAAGTGCTCCAAATATCTAAATGCGGATTCTACAAAAAGAGTGATTCAAAACTGGTCTATGAAAAGGAAGGTTCAGCTCTGTGAGTTGAACGCACACATCACAAAAAGTTTCGGAGAATGCTTCCATTTAGTTTTTAGGTGAAGATATTACCTTTTCAACCACAGCCTTCGAAATGCTCCAAATGTCCACTTGAAGATTCTACAAGAAGATTGTTTCCAGGCGGCTCTATCAAAAGAAATGTTCAACTATGGGAGTAGAATACACACATCACAAAGTCGTTTCTGAGAATGCTTCTGTCTAGTTTTTATGTGAAGATATTTCCTTTTCTACCAGAGGCCTGAAAGCGCTCCAAACGTCCAATTGCAGATTCTACAAAAAGAGTGTTTCAAAACTTCTCTATCAAAAGTAAGGGTCTGCTTTGTGAGTTGAATGTACACATCAAAATGAAGTTTCTGATTATACTTCTGTCTACTTCCTATGGGAAGATATTTCCTTATCCGCAATGGTCCTCAAAGCCCTCGAAATGCCCACTTGAAGATTCTTCGGAAAGACGGTTTCAAAACTGCTCTATCAAAAGAAAGTTTCAACTTTGTGTGTAGAATGCACACATCACAAAGTCGTTTCTGAGAATGCTTCTGTCTAGTTTTTATATGAAGATATTTCCTTTTCTACCATAAGCCTCAAAGCACTGCACATATGAACTGGCAGATTCTTTAAAAAGAGTGTTACAAAACTGCTCTATCAAAACTGTTCTATCAACTCTGTGAGATGAATGGACACATCACAAAGATCTTTCTGAGAATGCTTCTGTCTAGGTTTTAGGTGAAGATATTCTCGTTTCCAAAGAATGCTTCAAAGAGTACTTAAATATCCGCCTGCAGATTCTACAAAAGGAGTGTTTCAAAACTGCTCTAACAAAAGAAAGTTTCAACCTGGGAGTTGAATGCACACATCACAAAGAAGTTTCTGAGAATGCTTCTGTCTAGTTTTAATGCGAAGATATTCCCTTTTCCATCATAACGTTCAAAGCGCTCCAAATGTCCATTTGCAGGTTTTAGAAACAGAGTGGTTCCAGACTGCTCTATCAAAAGAAATTTTCAACTATGGGAGTAGAAGGCACACAACACTAATTCGTTTCTGAGAATGCTTCTGTCTAGTTTTTATGTGAAGATATTTCCTTTTCTACCACAGGCATAAATGTGCTCCAAATATCCACTTGCAGATTCTAAAAAAAGAGTGTTTCAAAACTGCTGTATCAAAAGGAAGGTTCAATTCTGTGAGTTGAATGCACACATCACAAAGTAGTTTCTGAGAATGCTTCTGCCTAATTTTTAGTTTTAAGATATTCCCATTTCCAAAGAAGGCTTCAATTTGCTCCAAATATCCACTTGCAGATTGTACAAAAAGAGGGTTTCAAAACTGCTCTATCAAAAGGAAGGTTCAACTCTGTGAGTTGAATGCACACATCACAAAGTAGTTTCTGAGAATGCTTCTGCCTAATTTTTAGTTTTTAGATATTCCCATTTCCAAAGAAGGCTTCAATTTGCTCCAAATATCCACTTGCAGATTGTACAAAAAGAGGGTTTCAAAACTGCTCTATCAAAAGGAAGGTTCAACTCTGTGAGATGAATGCACACATCACAAAGTGGTTTCAGAGAATGCTTCTTTCTAGTTTTTAGGTGACGATATTCCCGTTTCCAATGTAGCACTCAAAGAGCTCCAAATATCCTCCTGCAGATTGTGCAAAAAGGGTGTTTCAAAACTGCTCTATCAAAAAGAAGCTTCAACTCTGTGAGTTGAATGCACAAATCACAAAGAAGTTTCTGGGAATACTTCTGTCTATTTTTATGTGACGATAATCCCGTTTCCAAAGAAGGCTTCAAAGCACTCCAAATATCCACCTGCAGATTATAAAGGAAGAGTTTTTCAAAACTGCTCAATCCAAAGGAAGGTTCAGCTCCGTGAGTTCAATGCCCACATCACAAAGAAGTTTCTGAGAATGCTTCTGTCTAGTTTCAAGGGGAAGATATTCCCGTTTCCAACGAAGGCTTCAAAGCGCTCCAAATATCCACTTGCAGAGTCTACAAAAAGACTGTTTCAAAACTGCTCTATAAAAGTAAGGTTGTACTTTGTTAGTGGAATGCACCCATCAAAATGAAGTTTCTGAGAACACTTCTGTCTACTTTTCATGTGAAGATATTTCCTTATCCACAATAGTCCCCAAAGCCCTCAAAATGCCCACTTGAAGATCCCTCAAAAAGACTGTTTCAAAACTGCAGTATCAGAAGGAAATTTCAACTATGTGAGTAGAATGCACACATCACAAAGTAGTTTCTGAGAATGCTTCTGTCTAGTTTTTATATGAAGATATTTCCTTTTCGACCTTAAGCCTCAAAGTGCTGCAATTATGCACTTTCAGATTCTTCAAAAAGAGGGTTTCAAAACTGCTCTGGCAAAAGGAAGTTTCAACGCTGTGAGTTGAATGCACACATCACAAAGAAGTTTCTGAGAATGCTTCTGTCTAATTTTTATGTGAAGATAATCCTGTTTCCCAAGAAGGCTTCAAAGCACCCTAATATCCGCCTCCAGATTCTACAGAAAGAGTGTTTCAAAACTGCTCTATGAAAAGGAAGGTTCAACTCTGTGAGTTGAATGCAGACATCATAAAGGAGTTTCTGAGAATGCTTCTGTCTTGTTTTAATGTGAAGATATTTCCTTTTCAACCGATAGCCTAAAAGAGCTCCAAATGTCCAACTGCAGATTTTTTAAAAAGAATGTTTCAAAACTGCACTATCAAAAGAAAGGTTCAGCTCTGTGAGTGGAATGCACACATCTCAAAGAAGTTTCTGAGAATGGTTCTGTCTAGTTTTTATGTGAAGGTATTCGCGATTCCAATGAAGTCTTCAAAGCGCTCCAAATATCTAAATGCGGATTCTACAAAAAGAGTGATTCAAAACTGGTCTATGAAAAGGAAGGTTCAGCTCTGTGAGTTGAACGCACACATCACAAAAAGTTTCGGACAATGCTTCCATTTAGTTTTTGGGTGAAGATATTACCTTTTCAACCACAGCCTTCGAAACGCTCCAAATGTCCACTTGCAGATTCTACAAGAAGATTGTTTCCAGGCGGCTCTATCAAAAGAAATGTTCAACTATGGGAGTAGAATACACACATCACAAAGTCGTTTCTGAGAATGCTTCTGTCTAGTTTTTATGTGAAGATATTTCCTTTTCTACCAGAGGCCTGAAAGCGCTCCAAATATCCAATTGCAGATTCTACAAAAAGAGTGTTTCAAAACTTCTCTATCAAAAGTAAGGGTCTGCTTTGTGAGTTGAATGTACACATCAAAATGAAGTTTCTGATTATACTTCTGTCTACTTCTTATGGGAAGATATTTCCTTATCCGCAATGGTCCTCAAAGCCCTCGAAATGTCCACTTGAAGATTCTTCGGAAAGACTGTTTCAAAACTGCTCTATCAAAAGAAAGTTTCAACTTTGTGTGTAGAATGCACACATCACAAAGTCGTTTCTGAGAATGCTTCTGTCTAGTTTTTATATGAAGATATTTCCTTTTCTACCATAAGCCTCAAAGCACTGCACATATGAACTGGCAGATTCTTTAAAAAGGGTGTTTTAAAACTGCTCTATCAAAACTGTTCTATCAACTCTGTGAGATGAATGGACACATCACAAAGATGTTTCTGAGAATGCTTCTGTCTAGGTTTTAGGTGAAGATATTCTCATTTCCAAAGAATGCTTCAAAGAGTACTTAAATATCCGCCTGCAGATTCTACAAAAGGAGTGTTTCAAAACTGCTCTAACAAAAGAAAGGTTCAACCTGGGAGTTGAATGCACACATCACAAAGAAGTTTCTGAGAATGCTTCTGTCTAGTTTTAATGCGAAGATATTCCCTTTTCCATCATAACCTTCAAAGCGCTCCAAATGTCCATTTGCAGATTTTAGAAACAGAGTGTTTCCAGACTGCTCTATCAAAAGAAATTTTCAACTATGGGAGTAGAATGCACACAACACAAATTCGTTTCTGAGAATGCTTCTGTCTAGTTTTTATGTGAAGATATTTCCTTTTCTACCACAGGCATAAATGTGCTCCAAATATCCACTTGCAGATTCTAAACAAAGAGTGTTTCAAAACTGCTGTATCAAAAGGAAGGTTCAATTCTGTGAGTTGAATGCACACATCACAAAGTAGTTTCTGAGAATGCTTCTGCCTAATTTTTAGATTTAAGATATTCCCATTTCCAAAGAAGGCTTCAATTTGCTCCAAATATCCACTTGCAGATTGTACAAAAAGAGGGTTTCAAAACTGCTCTATCAAAAGGAAGGTTCAACTCTGTGAGATGAATGCACACATCACAAAGTGGTTTCAGAGAATGCTTCTTTCTAGTTTTTAGGTGACGATATTCCCGTTTCCAATGTAGCACTCAAAGAGCTCCAAATATCCTCCTGCAGATTGTGCAAAAAGGGTGTTTCAAAACTGCTCTATCAAAAAGAAGCTTCAACTCTGTGAGTTGAATGCACAAATCACAAAGAAGTTTCTGGGAATACTTCTGTCTATTTTTATGTGACGATACTCCCGTTTCCAAAGAAGGCTTCAAAGCACTCCAAATATCCACCTGCAGATTATAAAGGAAGAGTTTTTCAAAACTGCTCAATCCAAAGGAAGGTTCAGCTCCGTGAGTTCAATGCCCACATCACAAAGAAGTTTCTGAGAATGCTTCTGTCTAGTTTCAAGGGGAAGATATTCCCGTTTCCAACGAAGGCTTCAAAGCGCTCCAAATATCCACTTGCAGAGTCTACAAAAAGACTGTTTCAAAACTGCTCTATAAAAGTAAGGTTGTACTTTGTTAGTTGAATGCACCCATCAAAATGAAGTTTCTGAGAACACTTCTGTCTACTTTTCATGTGAAGATATTTCCTTATCCACAATAGTCCCCAAAACCCTCAAAATGCCCACTTGAAGATCCCTCAAAAAGACTGTTTCAAAACTGCAGTATCAGAAGGAAATTTCAACTATGTGAGTAGAATGCACACATCACAAAGTAGTTTCTGAGAATGCTTCTGTCTAGTTTTTATATGAAGATATTTCCTTTTCGACCTTAAGCCTCAAAGTGCTGCAATTATGCACTTTCAGATTCTTCAAAAAGAGGGTTTCAAAACTGCTCTGGCAAAAGGAAGGTTCAACGCTGTGAGTTGAATGCACACATCACAAAGAAGTTTCTGAGAATGTTTCTGTCTAATTTTTATGTGAAGATAATCCTGTTTCCCAAGAAGGCTTCAAAGCACCCTAATATCCGCCTCCAGATTCTACAGAAAGAGTGTTTCAAAAGTGCTCTATCAAAAGTAAGGTTCAACTCTGTGAGTTGAATGCAGACATCATAAAGGAGTTTCTGAGAATGCTTCTGTCTTGTTTTAATGTGAAGATATTTCCTTTTCAACCGATAGCCTAAAAGAGCTCAAATGTCCAACTGCAGATTTTTTAAAAAGAATGTTTCAAAACTGCACTATCAAAAGAAAGGTTCAGCTCTGTGAGTTGAATGCACACATCTCAAAGAAGTTTCTGAGAATGGTTCTGTCTAGTTTTTATGTGAAGGTATTCACGATTCCAATGAAGTCTTCAAAGCGCTCCAAATATCTAAATGCGGATTCTACAAAAAGAGTGATTCAAAACTGGTCTATGAAAAGGAAGGTTCAGCTCTGTGAGTTCAACGCACACATCACAAAAAGTTTCGGACAATGCTTCCATTTAGTTTTTGGGTGAAGATATTACCTTTTCAACCACAGCCTTCGAAACGCTCCAAATGTCCACTTGCAGATTCTGCAAGAAGATTGTTTCCAGGCGGCTCTATCAAAAGAAATGTTCAACTATGGGAGTAGAATACACACATCACAAAGTCGTTTCTGAGAATGCTTCTGTCTAGTTTTTATGTGAAGATATTTCCTTTTCTACCAGAGGCCTGAAAGCGCTCCAAATATCCAATTGCAGATTCTACAAAAAGAGTGTTTCAAAACTTCTCTATCAAAAGTAAGGGTCTGCTTTGTGAGTTGAATGTACACATCAAAATGAAGTTTCTGATTATACTTCTGTCTACTTCTTATGGGAAGATATTTCCTTATCCGCAATGGTCCTCAAAGCCCTCGAAATGTCCACTTGAAGATTCTTCGGAAAGACTGCTTCAAAACTGCTCTATCAAAAGAAAGTTTCAACTTTGTGTGTAGAATGCACACATCACAAAGTCGTTTCTGAGAATGCTTCTGTCTAGGTTTTATATGAAGATATTTCCTTTTCTACCATAAGCCTCAAAGCACTGCACATATGAACTGGCAGATCCTTTAAAAAGTGTTTCAAAACTGCTCTATCAAAACTGTTCTATCAACTCTGTGAGATGAATGGACACATCACAAAGATGTTTCTGAGAATGCTTCTGTCTAGGATTTAGGTGAAGATATTCTCGTTTCCAAAGAATGCTTCAAAGAGTACTTAAATATCTGCCTGCAGATTCTACAAAAGGAGTGTTTCAAAACTGCTCTAACAAAAGAAAGGTTCAACCTGGGAGTTGAATGCACACATCAGAAAGAAGTTTCTGAGAATGCTTCTGTCTAGTTTTAATGCGAAGATATTCCCTTTTCCATCATAACCTTCAAAGCGCTCCAACTGTCCATTTACAGATTTTAGAAACAGAGTGTTTCCACACTGCTCTATCAAAAGAAATTTTCAACTATGGGAGTAGAATGCACACATCACAAATTCGTTTCTGAGAATGCTTCTGTCTAGTTTTTATGTGAAGATATTTCCTTTTCTACCACAGGCATAAATGTGCTCCAAATATCCACTTGCAGATTCTAAAAAAAAGAGTGTTTCAAAACTGCTGTATCAAAAGGAAGGTTCAATTCTGTGAGTTGAATGCACACATCACAAAGTAGTTTCTGAGAATGCTTCTGCCTAATTTTTAGATTTAAGATATTCCCATTTCCAAAGAAGGCTTCAATTTGCTCCAAATATCCACTTGCAGATTGTACAAAAAGAGGGTTTCAAAACTGCTCTATCAAAAGGAAGGTTCAACTCTGTGAGATGAATGCACACATCACAAAGTGGTTTCAGAGAATGCTTCTTTCTAGTTTTTAGGTGACGATATTCCCGTTTCCAATGTAGCACTCAAAGAGCTCCAAATATCCTCCTGCAGATTGTGCAAAAAGGGTGTTTCAAAACTGCTCTATCAAAAAGAAGCTTCAACTCTGTGAGTTGAATGCACAAATCACAAAGAAGTTTCTGGGAATACTTCTGTCTATTTTTATGTGACGATACTCCCGTTTCCAAAGAAGGCTTCAAAGCACTCCAAATATCCACCTGCAGATAATAAAGGAAGAGTTTTTCAAAACTGCTCAATCCAAAGGAAGGTTCAGCTCCGTGAGTTCAATGCCCACATCACAAAGAAGTTTCTGAGAATGCTTCTGTCTAGTTTCAAGGGGAAGATATTCCCGTTTCCAACGAAGGCTTCAAAGCGCTCCAAATATCCACTTGCAGAGTCTACAAAAAGACTGTTTCAAAACTGCTCTATAAAAGTAAGGTTGTACTTTGTTAGTGGAATGCACCCATCAAAATGAAGTTTCTGAGAACACTTCTGTCTACTTTTCATGTGAAGATATTTCCTTATCCACAATAGTCCCCAAAGCCCTCAAAATGCCCACTTGAAGATCCCTCAAAAAGACTGTTTCAAAACTGCAGTATCAGAAGGAAATTTCAACTATGTGAGTAGAATGCACACATCACAAAGTAGTTTCTGAGAATGCTTCTGTCTAGTTTTTATATGAAGATATTTCCTTTTCGACCTTAAGCCTCAAAGTGCTGCAATTATGCACTTTCAGATTCTTCAAAAAGAGGGTTTCAAAACTGCTCTGGCAAAAGGAAGTTTCAACGCTGTGAGTTGAATGCACACATCACAAAGAAGTTTCTGAGAATGCTTCTGTCTAATTTTTATGTGAAGATAATCCTGTTTCCCAAGAAGGCTTCAAAGCACCCTAATATCCGCCTCCAGATTCTACAGAAAGAGTGTTTCAAAACTGCTCTATCAAAAGGAAGGTTCAACTCTGTGAGTTGAATGCAGACATCATAAAGGAGTTTCTGAGAATGCTTCTGTCTTGTTTTAATGTGAAGATATTTCCTTTTCAACCGATAGCCTAAAAGAGCTCCAAATGTCCAACTGCAGATTTTTTAAAAAGAATGTTTCAAAACTGCACTATCAAAAGAAAGGTTCAGCTCTGTGAGTTGAATGCACACATCTCAAAGAAGTTTCTGAGAATGGTTCTGTCTAGTTTTTATGTGAAGGTATTCGCGATTCCAATGAAGTCTTCAAAGCGCTCCAAATATCTAAATGCGGATTCTACAAAAAGAGTGATTCAAAACTGGTCTATGAAAAGGAAGGTTCAGCTCTGTGAGTTGAACGCACACATCACAAAACTTTTCGGAGAATGCTTCCATTTAGTTTTTAGGTGAAGATATTACCTTTTCAACCACAGCCTTCGAAACGCTCCAAATGTCCACTTGCAGATTCTACAAGAAGATTGTTTCCAGGCGGCTCTATCAAAAGAAATGTTCAACTATGGGAGTAGAATACACACATCACAAAGTCGTTTCTGAGAATGCTTCTGTCTAGTTTTTATGTGAAGATATTTCCTTTTTTACCAGAGGCCTGAAAGCGCTCCAAATATCCAATTGCAGATTCTACAAAAAGAGTGTTTCAAAACTTCTCTATCAAAAGTAAGGGTCTGCTTTGTGAGTTGAATGTACACATCAAAATGAAGTTTCTGATTATACTTCTGTCTACTTCTTATGGGAAGATATTTCCTTATCCGCAATGGTCCTCAAAGCCCTCGAAATGCCCACTTGAAGATTCTTCGGAAAGACGGTTTCAAAACTGCTCTATCAAAAGAAAGTTTCAACTTTGTGTGTAGAATGCACACATCACAAAGTCGTTTCTGAGAATGCTTCTGTCTAGTTTTTATATGAAGATATTTCCTTTTCTACCATAAGCCTCAAAGCACTGCACATATGAACTGGCAGATTCTTTAAAAAGAGTGTTTCAAAACTGCTCTATCAAAACTGTTCTATCAACTCTGTGAGATGAATGGACACATCACAAGGATGTTTCTGAGAATGCTTCTGTCTAGGTTTTAGGTGAAGATATTCTCGTTTCCAAAGAATGCTTCAAAGAGTACTTAAATATCCGCCTGCAGATTCTACAAAAGGAGTGTTTCAAAACTGCTCTAACAAAAGAAAAGTTCAACCTGGGAGTTGAATGCACACATCACAAAGAAGTTTCTGAGAATGCTTCTGTCTAGTTTTAATGCGAAGATATTCCCTTTTCCATCATAACCTTCAAAGCGCTCCAAATGTCCATTTGCAGATTTTAGAAACAGAGTGGTTCCAGACTGCTCTATCAAAAGAAATTTTCAACTATGGGAGTAGAATACACACAACACTAATTCGTTTCTGAGAATGCTTCTGTCTAGTTTTTATGTGAAGATATTTCCTTTTCTACCACAGGCATAAATGTGCTCCAAATATCCACTTGCAGATTCTAAACAAAGAGTGTTTCAAAACTGCTGTATCAAAAGGAAGGTTCAATTCTGTGAGTTGAATGCACACATCACAAAGTAGTTTCTGAGAATGCTTCTGCCTAATTTTTAGATTTAAGATATTCCCATTTCCAAAGAAGGCTTCAATTTGCTCCAAATATCCACTTGCAGAGTGTACAAAAAGAGGGTTTCAAAACTGCTCTATCAAAAGGAAGGTTCAACTCTGTGAGATGAATGCACACATCACAAAGTGGTTTCCGAGAATGCTTCTTTCTAGTTTTTAGGTGACGATATTCCCGTTTCCAATGTAGCACTCAAAGAGCTCCAAATATCCTCCTGCAGATTGTGCAAAAAGGGTGTTTCAAAACTGCTCTATCAAAAAGAAGCTTCAACTCTGTGAGTTGAATGCACAAATCACAAAGAAGTTTCTGGGAATACTTCTGTCTATTTTTATGTGACGATAGTCCCGTTTCCAAAGAAGGCTTCAAAGCACTCCAAATATCCACCTGCAGATTATAAAGGAAGAGTTTTTCAAAAATGCTCAATCCAAAGGAAGGTTCAGCTCCGTGAGTTCAATGCCCACATCACAAAAGAAGTTTCTGAGAATGCTTCTGTCTAGTTTCAAGGGAAGATATTCCCGTTTCCAACGAAGGCTTCAAAGCGCTCCAAATATCCACTTGCAGAGTCTACAAAAAGACTGTTTCAAAACTGCTCTATAAAAGTAAGGTTGTACTTTGTTAGTGGAATGCACCCATCAAAATGAAGTTTCTGAGAACACTTCTGTCTACTTTTCATGTGAAGATATTTCCTTATCCACAATAGTCCCCAAAGCCCTCAAAATGCCCACTTGAAGATCCCTCAAAAAGACTGTTTCAAAACTGCAGTATCAGAAGGAAATTTCAACTATGTGAGTAGAATGCACACATCACAAAGTAGTTTCTGAGAATGCTTCTGTCTAGTTTTTATATGAAGATATTTCCTTTTCGACCTTAAGCCTCAAAGTGCTGCAATTATGCACTTTCAGATTCTTCAAAAAGAGGGTTTCAAAACTGCTCTGGCAAAAGGAAGTTTCAACGCTGTGAGTTGAATGCACACATCACAAAGAAGTTTCTGAGAATGCTTCTGTCTAATTTTTATGTGAAGATAATCCTGTTTCCCAAGAAGGCTTCAAAGCACCCTAATATCCGCCTCCAGATTCTACAGAAAGAGTGTTTCAAAACTGCTCTATCAAAAGGAAGGTTCAACTCTGTGAGTTGAATGCAGACATCATAAAGGAGTTTCTGAGAATGCTTCTGTCTTGTTTTAATGTGAAGATATTTCCTTTTCAACCGATAGCCTAAAAGAGCTCCAAATGTCCAACTGCAGATTTTTTAAAAAGAATGTTTCAAAACTGCACTATCAAAAGAAAGGTTCAGCTCTGTGAGTTGAATGCACACATCTCAAAGAAGTTTCTGAGAATGGTTCTGTCTAGTTTTTATGTGAAGGTATTCGCGATTCCAATGAAGTCTTCAAAGCGCTCCAAATATCAAAATGCGGATTCTACAAAAAGAGTGATTCAAAACTGGTCTATGAAAAGGAAGGTTCAGCTCTGTGAGTTGAACGCACACATCACAAAAAGTTTCGGACAATGCTTCCATTTAGTTTTTGGGTGAAGATATTACCTTTTCAACCACAGCCTTCGAAACGCTCCAAATGTCCACTTGCAGATTCTACAAGAAGATTGTTTCCAGGCGGCTCTATCAAAAGAAATGTTCAACTATGGGAGTAGAATACACACATCACAAAGTCGTTTCTGAGAATGCTTCTGTCTAGTTTTTATGTGAAGATATTTCCTTTTCTACCAGAGGCCTGAAAGTGCTCCAAATATCCAATTGCAGATTCTACAAAAAGAGTGTTTCAAAACTTCTCTATCAAAAGTAAGGGTGTGCTTTGTGAGTTAAATGTGCACATCAAAATGAAGTTTCTGATTATACTTCTGTCTACTTCTTATGGGAAGATATTTCCTTATCCGCAATGGTCCTCAAAGCCCTCGAAATGCCCACTTGAAGATACTTCGGAAAGACGGTTTCAAAACTGCTCTATCAAAAGAAAGTTTCAACTTTGTGTGTAGAATGCACACATCACAAAGTCGTTTCTGAGAATGCTTCTGTCTAGTTTTTATAGGAAGATATTTCCTTTTCTACCATAAGCCTCAAAGCACTGCACATATGAACTGGCAGATTCTTTAAAAAGAGTGTTTCAAAACTGCTCTATCAAAACTGTTCTATCAACTCTGTGAGATGAATGGACACATCACAAAGATGTTTCTGTGAATGCTTCTGTCTAGGTTTTAGGTGAAGATATTCTCGTTTCCAAAGAATGCTTCAAAGAGTACTTAAATATCCGCCTGCAGATTCTACAAAAGGAGTGTATCAAAACTGCTCTAACAAAAGAAAGGTTCAACCTGGGAGTTGAATGCACACATCACAAAGAAGTTTCTGAGAATGCTTCTGTCTAGTTTTAATGCGAAGATATTCCCTTTTCCATCATAACCTTCAAAGCGCTCCAAATGTCCATTTGCAGATTTTAGAAACAGAGTGTTTCCAGACTGCTCTATCAAAAGAAATTTTCAACTATGGTAGTAGAATGCACACAACACAAATTCGTTTCTGAGAATGCTTCTGTCTAGTTGTTATGTGAAGATATTTCCTTTTCTACCGTAGGCATACATGTGCTCCAAATATCCACTTGCAGATTCTAAACAAAGAGTGTTTCAAATCTGCTGTATCAAAAGGAAGGTTCAATTCTGTGAGTTGAATGCACACATCACAAAGTAGTTTCTGAGAATGCTTCTGCCTAATTTTTAGATTTAAGATATTCCCATTTCCAAAGAAGGCTTCAATTTGCTCCAAATATCCACTTGCAGATTGTACAAAAAGAGGGTTTCAAAACTGCTCTATGAAAAGGAAGGTTCAACTCTGTGAGATGAATGCACACATCACAAAGTGGTTTCAGAGAATGCTTCTTTCTAGTTTTTAGGTGACGATATTCCCGTTTCCAATGTAGCACTCAAAGAGCTCCAAATATCCTCCTGCAGATTGTGCAAAAAGGGTGTTTCAAAACTGCTCTATCAAAAAGAAGCTTCAACTCTGTGAGTTGAATGCACAAATCACAAAGAAGTTTCTGGGAATACTTCTGTCTATTTTTATGTGACGATACTCCCGTTTCCAAAGAAGGCTTCAAAGCACTCCAAATATCCACCTGCAGATTATAAAGGAAGAGTTTTTCAAAACTGCTCAATCCAAAGGAAGGTTCAGATCCGTGAGTTCAATGCCCACATCACAAAGAAGTTTCTGAGAATGCTTCTGTCTAGTTTCAAGGGGAAGATATTCCCGTTTCCAACGAAGGCTTCAAAGCGCTCCAAATATCCACTTGCAGAGTCTACAAAAAGACTGTTTCAAAACTGCTCTATAAAAGTAAGGTTGTACTTTGTTAGTGGAATGCACCCATCAAAATGAAGTTTCTGAGAACACTTCTGTCTACTTTTCATGTGAAGATATTTCCTTATCCACAATAGTCCCCAAAGCCCTCAAAATGCCCACTTGAAGATCCCTCAAAAATACTGTTTCAAAACTGCAGCATCAGAAGGAAATTTCAACTATGTGAGTAGAATGCACACATCACAAAGTAGTTTCTGAGAATGCTTCTGTCTAGTTTTTATATGAAGATATTTCCTTTTCGACCTTAAGCCTCAAAGTGCTGCAATTATGCACTTTCAGATTCTTCAAAAAGAGGGTTTCAAAACTGCTCTGGCAAAAGGAAGTTTCAACGCTGTGAGTTGAATGCACACATCTCAAAGAAGTTTCTGAGAATGGTTCTGTCTAGTTTTTATGTGAAGGTATTCGCGATTCCAATGAAGTCTTCAAAGCGCTCCAAATATCAAAATGCGGATTCTACAAAAAGAGTGATTCAAAACTGGTCTATGAAAAGGAAGGTTCAGCTCTGTGAGTTGAACGCACACATCACAAAAAGTTTCGGACAATGCTTCCATTTAGTTTTTGGGTGAAGATATTACCTTTTCAACCACAGCCTTCGAAACGCTCCAAATGTCCACTTGCAGATTCTACAAGAAGATTGTTTCCAGGCGGCTCTATCAAAAGAAATGTTCAACTATGGGAGTAGAATACACACATCACAAAGTCGTTTCTGAGAATGCTTCTGTCTAGTTTTTATGTGAAGATATTTCCTTTTCTACCAGAGGCCTGAAAGCGCTCCAAATATCCAATTGCAGATTCTACAAAAAGAGTGTTTCAAAACTTCTCTATCAAAAGTAAGGGTCTGCTTTGTGAGTTGAATGTACACATCAAAATGAAGTTTCTGATTATACTTCTGTCTACTTCTTATGGGAAGATATTTCCTTATCCGCAATGGTCCTCAAAGCCCTCGAAATGTCCACTTGAAGATTCTTCGGAAAGACTGTTTCAAAACTGCTCTATCAAAAGAAAGTTTCAACTTTGTGTGTAGAATGCACACATCACAAAGTCGTTTCTGAGAATGCTTCTGTCTAGTTTTTATATGAAGATATTTCCTTTTCTACCATAAGCCTCAAAGCACTGCACATATGAATTGGCAGATTCTTTAAAAAGAGTGTTTCAAAACTGCTCTATCAAAACTGTTCTATCAACTCTGTGAGATGAATGGACACATGACAAAGATGTTTCTGAGAATGCTTCTGTCTAGGTTTTAGGTGAAGATATTCTCGTTTCCAAAGAATGCTTCAAAGAGTACTTAAATATCCGCCTGCAGATTCTACAAAAGGAGTGTTTCAAAACTGCTCTAACAAAAGAAAGGTTCAACCTGGGAGTTGAATGCACACATCACAAAGAAGTTTCTGAGAATGCTTCTGTCTAGTTTTAATGCGAGGATATTCCCTTTTCCATCATAACCTTCAAAGCGCTCCAAATGTCCATTTGCAGATTTTAGAAACAGAGTGTTTCCAGACTGCTCTATCAAAAGAAATTTTCAACTATGGGAGTAGAATGCACACAACACAAATTCGTTTCTGAGAATGCTTCTGTCTAGTTTTTATGTGAAGATATTTCCTTTTCTACCGTAGGCATACATGTGCTCCAAATATCCACTTGCAGATTCTAAACAAAGAGTGTTTCAAAACTGCTGTATCAAAAGGAAGGTTCAATTCTGTGAGTTGAATGCACACATCACAAAGTAGTTTCTGAGAATGCTTCTGCCTAATTTTTAGATTTAAGATATTCCCATTTCCAAAGAAGGCTTCAATTTGCTCCAAATATCCACTTGCAGATTGTACAAAAAGAGGGTTTCAAAACTGCTCTATCAAAAGGAAGGTTCAACTCTGTGAGATGAATGCACACATCACAAAGTGGTTTCAGAGAATGCTTCTTTCTAGTTTTTAGGTGACGATATTCCCATTTCCAATGTAGCACTCAAAGAGCTCCAAATATCCTCCTGCAGATTGTGCAAAAAGGGTGTTTCAAAACTGCTCTATCAAAAAGAAGCTTCAACTCTGTGAGTTGAATGCACAAATCACAAAGAAGTTTCTGGGAATACTTCTGTCTATTTTTATGTGACGATACTCCCGTTTCCAAAGAAGGCTTCAAAGCACTCCAAATATCCACCTGCAGATTATAAAGGAAGAGTTTTTCAAAACTGCTCAATCCAAAGGAAGGTTCAGCTCCGTGAGTTCAATGCCCACATCACAAAGAAGTTTCTGAGAATGCTTCTGTCTAGTTTCAAGGGGAAGATATTCCCGTTTCCAACGAAGGCTTCAAAGCGCTCCAAATATCCACTTGCAGAGTCTACAAAAAGACCGTTTCAAAACTGCTCTATAAAAGTAAGGTTGTACTTTGTTAGTTGAATGCACCCATCAAAATGAAGTTTCTGAGAACACTTCTGTCTACTTTTCATGTGAAGATATTTCCTTATCCACAATAGTCCCCAAAGCCCTCAAAATGCCCACTTGAAGATCCCTCAAAAAGACTGTTTCAAAACTGCAGTATCAGAAGGAAATTTCAACTATGTGAGTAGAATGCACACATCACAAAGTAGTTTCTGAGAATGCTTCTGTCTAGTTTTTATATGAAGATATTTCCTTTTCGACCTTAAGCCTCAAAGTGCTGCAATTATGCACTTTCAGATTCTTCAAAAAGAGGGTTTCAAAACTGCTCTGGCAAAAGGAAGTTTCAACGCTGTGAGTTGAATGCTCACATCACAAAGAAGTTTCTGAGAATGCTTCTGTCTAAATTTTATGTGAAGATAATCCTGTTTCCCAAGAAGGCTTCAAAGCACCCTAATATCCGCCTCCAGATTCTACAGAAAGAGTGTTTCAAAACTGCTCTATGAAAAGGAAGGTTCAACTCTGTGAGTTGAATGCAGACATCATAAAGGAGTTTCTGAGAATGCTTCTGTCTTGTTTTAATGTGAAGATATTTCCTTTTCAACCGATAGCCTAAAAGAGCTCCAAATGTCCAACTGCAGATTTTTTAAAAAGAATGTTTCAAAACTGCACTATCAAAAGAAAGGTTCAGCTCTGTGAGTGGAATGCACACATCTCAAAGAAGTTTCTGAGAATGGTTCTGTCTAGTTTTTATGTGAAGGTATTCGCGATTCCAATGAAGTCTTCAAAGCGCTCCAAATATCTAAATGCGGATTCTACAAAAAGAGTGATTCAAAACTGGTCTATGAAAAGGAAGGTTCAGCTCTGTGAGTTGAACGCACACATCACAAAAAGTTTCGGACAATGCTTCCATTTAGTTTTTGGGTGAAGATATTACCTTTTCAACCACAGCCTTCGAAACGCTCCAAATGTCCACTTGCAGATTCTACAAGAAGATTGTTTCCAGGCGGCTCTATCAAAAGAAATGTTCAACTATGGGAGTAGAATACACACATCACAAAGTCGTTTCTGAGAATGCTTCTGTCTAGTTTTTATGTGAAGATATTTCCTTTTCTACCAGAGGCCTGAAAGCGCTCCAAACATCCAATTGCAGATTCTACAAAAAGAGTGTTTCAAAACTTCTCTATCAAAAGTAAGGGTCTGCTTTGTGAGTTGAATGTACACATCAAAATGAAGTTTCTGATTATACTTCTGTCTACTTCTTATGGGAAGATATTTCCTTATCCGCAATGGTCCTCAAAGCCCTCGAAATGCCCACTTGAAGATTCTTCGGAAAGACGGTTTCAAAACTGCTCTATCAAAAGAAAGTTTCAACTTTGTGTGTACAATGCACGCATCACAAAGTCGTTTCTGAGAATGCTTCTGTCTAGTTTTTATAGGAAGATATTTCCTTTTCTACCATAAGCCTCAAAGCACTGCACATATGAACTGGCAGATTCTTTAAAAAGAGTGTTTCAAATCTGCTCTATCAAAACTGTTCTATCAACTCTGTGAGATGAATGGACACATCACAAAGATGTTTCTGAGAATGCTTCTGTCTAGGTTTTAGGTGAAGATATTCTCGTTTCCAAAGAATGCTTCAAAGAGTACTTAAATATCCGCCTGCAGATTCTACAGAAGGAGTGTTTCAAAACTGCTCTAACAAAAGAAAGGTTCAACCTGGGAGTTGAATGCACACATCACAAAGAAGTTTCTGAGAATGCTTCTGTCTAGTATTAATGCGAAGATATTCCCTTTTCCATCATAACCTTCAAAGCGCTCCAAATGTCCATTTGCAGATTTTAGAAACAGAGTGGTTCAAGACTGCTCTATCAAAAGAAATTTTCAACTATGGGAGTAGAATGCACACAACACAAATTCGTTTCTGAGAATGCTTCTGTCTAGTTTTTATGTGAAGATATTTCCTTTTCTACCACAGGCATAAATGTGCTCCAAATATCCACTTGCAGATTCTGAAAAAAGAGTGTTTCAAATCTGCTGTATCAAAAGGAAGGTTCAATTCTGTGAGTTGAATGCACACATCACAAAGTAGTTTCTGAGAATGCTTCTGCCTAATTTTTAGATTTAAGATATTCCCATTTCCAAAGAAGGCTTCAATTTGCTCCAAATATCCACTTGCAGATTGTACAAAAAGAGGGTTTCAGAACTGCTCTATCAAAAGGAAGGTTCAACTCTGTGAGATGAATGCACACATCACAAAGTGGTTTCAGAGAATGCTTCTTTTTAGTTTTTAGGTGACGATATTCCCGTTTCCAATGTAGCACTCAAAGAGCTCCAAATATCCTCCTGCAGATTGTGCAAAAAGGGTGTTTCAAAACTGCTCTATCAAAAAGAAGCTTCAACTCTGTGAGTTGAATGCACAAATCACAAAGAAGTTTCTGGGAATACTTCTGTCTATTTTTATGTGACGATACTCCCGTTTCCAAAGAAGGCTTCAAAGCACTCCAAATATCCACCTGCAGATTATAAAGGAAGAGTTTTTCAAAACTGCTCAATCCAAAGGAAGGTTCAGCTCCGTGAGTTCAATGCCCACATCACAAAGAAGTTTCTGAGAATGCTTCTGTCTAGTTTCAATGGGAAGATATTCCCGTTTCCAACGAAGGCTTCAAAGCGCTCCAAATATCCACTTGCAGAGTCTACAAAAAGACTGTTTCACAACTGCTCTATAAAAGTTAGGTTGTACTTTGTTACTTGAATGCACCCATCAAAATGAAGTTTCTGAGAACACTTCTGTCTACTATTCATGTGAAGATATTTCCTTATCCACAATAGTCCCCAAAGCCCTCAAAATGCCCACTTGAAGATCGCTCAAAAAGACTGTTTCAAAACTGCAGTATCAGAAGGAAATTTCAACTATGTGAGTATAATGCACACATCACAAAGTAGTTTCTGAGAATGCTTCTGTCTAGTTTTTATATGAAGATATTTCCTTTTCTACCTTAAGCCTCAAAGTGCTGCAATTATGCACTTTCAGATTGTTCAAAAAGAGGGTTTCAAAACTGCTCTAGCAAAAGGAAGTTTCAACGCTGTGAGTTGAATGCACACATCACAAAGAAGTTTCTGAGAATGTTTCTGTCTAATTTTTATGTGAAGATAATCCTGCTTCCCAAGAAGGCTTCAAAGCACCCTAATATCCGCCTCCAGATTCTACAGAAAGAGTGTTTCAAAACTGCTCTATGGAAAGGAAGGTTCAACTCTGTGAGTTGAATGCAGACATCATAAAGGAGTTTCTGAGAATGCTTCTGTCTTGTTTTAATGTGAAGATATTTCCTTTTCAACCGATAGCCTAAAAGAGCTCCAAATGTCCAACTGCAGATTTTTTAAAAAGAATGTTTCAAAACTGCACTATCAAAAGAAAGGTTCAGCTCTGTGAGTTGAATGCACACATCTCAAAGAAGTTTCTGAGAATGGTTCTGTCTAGTTTTTATGTGAAGGTATTCGCGATTCCAATGAAGTCTTCAAAGCGCTCCAAATATCTAAATGCGGATTCTACAAAAAGAGTGATTCAAAACTGGTCTATGAAAAGGAAGGTTCAGCTCTGTGAGTTGAACGCACACATCACAAAACTTTTCGGAGAATGCTTCCATTTAGTTTTTAGGTGAAGATATTACCTTTTCAACCACAGCCTTCGAAACGCTCCAAATGTCCACTTGCAGATTCTACAAGAAGATTGTTTCCAGGCGGCTCTATCAAAAGAAATGTTCAACTATGGGAGTAGAATACACACATCACAAAGTCGTTTCTGAGAATGCTTCTGTCTAGTTTTTATGTGAAGATATTTCCTTTTTTACCAGAGGCCTGAAAGCGCTCCAAATATCCAATTGCAGATTCTACAAAAAGAGTGTTTCAAAACTTCTCTATCAAAAGTAAGGGTCTGCTTTGTGAGTTGAATGTACACATCAAAATGAAGTTTCTGATTATACTTCTGTCTACTTCTTATGGGAAGATATTTCCTTATCCGCAATGGTCCTCAAAGCCCTCGAAATGCCCACTTGAAGATTCTTCGGAAAGACGGTTTCAAAACTGCTCTATCAAAAGAAAGTTTCAACTTTGTGTGTAGAATGCACACATCACAAAGTCGTTTCTGAGAATGCTTCTGTCTAGTTTTTATATGAAGATATTTCCTTTTCTGCCATAAGCCTCAAAGCACTGCACATATGAACTGGCAGATTCTTTAAAAAGAGTGTTTCAAAACTGCTCTATCAAAACTGTTCTATCAACTCTGTGAGATGAATGGACACATCACAAGGATGTTTCTGAGAATGCTTCTGTCTAGGTTTTAGGTGAAGATATTCTCGTTTCCAAAGAATGCTTCAAAGAGTACTTAAATATCCGCCTGCGGATTCTACAAAAGGAGTGTTTCAAAACTGCTCTAACAAAAGAAAAGTTCAACCTGGGAGTTGAATGCACACATCACAAAGAAGTTTCTGAGAATGCTTCTGTCTAGTTTTAATGCGAAGATATTCCCTTTTCCATCATAACCTTCAAAGCGCTCCAAATGTCCATTTGCAGATTTTAGAAACAGAGTGTTTCCAGACTGCTCTATCAAAAGAAATTTTCAACTATGGGAGTAGAATGCACACAACACAAATTCGTTTCTGAGAATGCTTCTGTCTAGTTTTTATGTGAAGATATTTCCTTTTCTACCACAGGCATAAATGTGCTCCAAATATCCACTTGCAGATTCTGAAAAAAGAGTGTTTCAAAACTGCTGTATCAAAAGGAAGGTTCAATTCTGTGAGTTGAATGCACACATCACAAAGTAGTTTCTGAGAATGCTTCTGCCTAATTTTTAGATTTAAGATATTCCAATTTCCAAAGAAGGCTTCAATTTGCTCCAAATATCCACTTGCAGATTGTACAAAAAGAGGGTTTCAAAACTGCTCTATCAAAAGGAAGGTTCAACTCTGTGAGATGAATGCACACATCACAAAGTGGTTTCAGAGAATGCTTCTTTCTAGTTTTTAGGTGACGATATTCCCGTTTCCAATGTAGCACTCAAAGAGCTCCAAATATCCTCCTGCAGATTGTGCAAAAAGGGTGTTTCAAAACTGCTCTATCAAAAAGAAGCTTCAACTCTGTGAGTTGAATGCACAAATCACAAAGAAGTTTCTGGGAATACTTCTGTCTATTTTTATGTGACGATAGTCCCGTTTCCAAAGAAGGCTTCAAAGCACTCCAAATATCCACCTGCAGATTATAAAGGAAGAGTTTTTCAAAAATGCTCAATCCAAAGGAAGGTTCAGCTCCGTGAGTTCAATGCCCACATCACAAAGAAGTTTCTGAGAATGCTTCTGTCTAGTTTCAAGGGGAAGATATTCCCGTTTCCAACGAAGGCTTCAAAGCGCTCCAAATATCCACTTGCAGAGTCTACAAAAAGACTGTTTCAAAACTGCTCTATAAAAGTAAGGTTGTACTTTGTTAGTGGAATGCACCCATCAAAATGAAGTTTCTGAGAACACTTCTGTCTACTTTTCATGTGAAGATATTTCCTTATCCACAATAGTCCCCAAAGCCCTCAAAATGCCCACTTGAAGATCCCTCAAAAAGACTGTTTCAAAACTGCAGTATCAGAAGGAAATTTCAACTATGTGAGTAGAATGCACACATCACAAAGTAGTTTCTGAGAATGCTTCTGTCTAGTTTTTATATGAAGATATTTCCTTTTCGACCTTAAGCCTCAAAGTGCTGCAATTATGCACTTTCAGATTCTTCAAAAAGAGGGTTTCAAAACTGCTCTGGCAAAAGGAAGTTTCAACGCTGTGAGTTGAATGCACACATCACAAAGAAGTTTCTGAGAATGCTTCTGTCTAATTTTTATGTGAAGATAATCCTGTTTCCCAAGAAGGCTTCAAAGCACCCTAATATCCGCCTCCAGATTCTACAGAAAGAGTGTTTCAAAACTGCTCTATGAAAAGGAAGGTTCAACTCTGTGAGTTGAATGCAGACATCATAAAGGAGTTTCTGAGAATGCTTCTGTCTTGTTTTAATGTGAAGATATTTCCTTTTCAACCGATAGCCTAAAAGAGCTCCAAATGTCCAACTGCAGATTTTTTAAAAAGAATGTTTCAAAACTGCACTATCAAAAGAAAGGTTCAACTCTGTGAGTTGAATGCACACATCTCAAAGAAGTTTCTGAGAATGGTTCTGTCTAGTTTTTATGTGAAGGTATTCGCGATTCCAATGAAGTCTTCAAAGCGCTCCAAATATCTAAATGCGGATCCTACAAAAAGAGTGATTCAAAACTGGTCTATGAAAAGGAAGGTTCAGCTCTGTGAGTTGAACGCACACATCACAAAAAGTTTCCGACAATGCTTCCATTTAGTTTTTAGGTGAAGATATTACCTTTTCAACCACAGCCTTCGAAACGCTCCAAATGTCCACTTGCAGATTCTACAAGAAGATTGTTTCCAGGCGGCTCTATCAAAAGAAATGTTCAACTATGGGAGTAGAATACACACATCACAAAGTCGTTTCTGAGAATGCTTCTGTCTAGTTTTTATGTGAAGATATTTCCTTTTCTACCAGAGGCCTGAAAGCGCTCCAAATATCCAATTGCAGATTCTACAAAAAGAGTGTTTCAAAACTTCTCTATCAAAAGTAAGGGTCTGCTTTGTGAGTTGAATGTACACATCAAAATGAAGTTTCTGATTATACTTCTGTCTACTTCTTATGGGAAGATATTTCCTTATCCGCAATGGTCCTCAAAGCCCTCGAAATGCCCACTTGAAGATTCTTCGGAAAGACTGTTTCAAAACTGCTCTATCAAAAGAAAGTTTCAACTTTGTGTGTAGAATGCACACATCACAAAGTCGTTTCTGAGAATGCTTCTGTCTAGTTTTTATATGAAGATATTTCCTTTTCTACCATAAGCCTCAAAGCACTGCACATATGAACTGGCAGATCCTTTAAAAAGAGTGTTTCAAAACTGCTCTATCAAAACTGTTCTATCAACTCTGTGAGATGAATGGACACATCACAAAGATGTTTCTGAGAATGCTTCTGTCTAGGTTTTAGGTGAAGATATTCTCGTTTCCAAAGAATGCTTCAAAGAGTACTTAAATATCCGCCTGCAGATTCTACAAAAGGAGTGTTTCAAAACTGCTCTAACAAAAGAAAGGTTCAACCTGGGAGTTGAATGCACACATCACAAAGAAGTTTCTGAGAATGCTTCTGTCTAGTTTTAATGCGAAGATATTCCCTTTTCCATCATAACCTTCAAAGCGCTCCAAATGTCCATTTGCAGATTTTAGAAACAGAGTGTTTCCAGGCGGCTCTATCAAAAGAAATGTTCAACTATGGGAGTAGAATGCACACAACACAAATTGGTTTCTGAGAATGCTTCTGTCTAGTTTTCATGTGAAGATATTTCCTTTTCTACCAGAGGCCTGAAAGCGCTCCAAATATCCAATTGCAGATTCTACAAAAAGAGTGTTTCAAAACTTCTCTATCAAAAGTAAGGGTCTGCTTTGTGAGTTGAATGTACACATCAAAATGAAGTTTCTGATTATACTTCTGTCTACTTCTTATGGGAAGATATTTCCTTATCCGCAATGGTCCTCAAAGCCCTCGAAATGCCCACTTGAATATTCTTCGGAAAGACGGTTTCAAAACTGCTCTATCAAAAGAAAGTTTCAACTTTGTGTGTAGAATGCACACATCACAAAGTCGTTTCTGAGAATGCTTCTGTCTAGTTTTTATAGGAAGATATTTCCTTTTCTACCATAAGCCTCAAAGCACTGCACATATGAACTGGCAGATTCTTTAAAAAGAGTGTTTCAAAACTGCTCTATCAAAACTGTTCTATCAACTCTGTGAGATGAATGGACACATCACAAAGATGTTTCTGAGAATGCTTCTGTCTAGGTTTTAGGTGAAGATATTCTCGTTTCCAAAGAATGCTTCAAAGAGTACTTAAATATCCGCCTGCAGATTCTACAAAAGGAGTGTTTCAAAACTGCTCTAACAAAAGAAAGGTTCAACCTGGGAGTTGAATGCACACATCACAAAGAAGTTTCTGAGAATGCTTCTGTCTAGTTTTAATGCGAAGATATTCCCTTTTCCATCATAACCTTCAAAGCGCTCCAAATGTCCATTTGCAGATTTTAGAAACAGAGTGTTTCCAGACTGCTCTATCAAAAGAAATTTTCAACTATGGGAGTAGAATGCACACAACACAAATTCGTTTCTGAGAATGCTTCTGTCTAGTTTTTATGTGAAGATATTTCCTTTTCTACCACAGGCATAAATGTGCTCCAAATATCCACTTGCAGATTCTGAAAAAAGAGTGTTTCAAAACTGCTGTATCAAAAGGAAGGTTCAATTCTGTGAGTTGAATGCACACATCACAAAGTAGTTTCTGAGAATGCTTCTGCCTAATTTTTAGATTTAAGATATTCCAATTTCCAAAGAAGGCTTCAATTTGCTCCAAATATCCACTTGCAGATTGTACAAAAAGAGGGTTTCAAAACTGCTCTATCAAAAGGAAGGTTCAACTCTGTGAGATGAATGCACACATCACAAAGTGGTTTCAGAGAATGCTTCTTTCTAGTTTTTAGGTGACGATATTCCCGTTTCCAATGTAGCACTCAAAGAGCTCCAAATATCCTCCTGCAGATTGTGCAAAAAGGGTGTTTCAAAACTGCTCTATCAAAAAGAAGCTTCAACTCTGTCAGTTGAATGCACAAATCACAAAGAAGTTTCTGGGAATACTTCTGTCTATTTTTATGTGACGATACTCCCGTTTCCAAAGAAGGCTTCAAAGCACTCCAAATATCCACCTGCAGATTATAAAGGAAGAGTTTTTCAAAACTGCTCAATCCAAAGGAAGTTTCAGCTCCGTGAGTTCAATGCCCACATCACAAAGAAGTTTCTGAGAATGCTTCTGTCTAGTTTCAAGGGGAAGATATTCCCGTTTCCAACGAAGGCTTCAAAGCGCTCCAAATATCCACTTGCAGAGTCTACAAAAAGACTGTTTCAAAACTGCTCTATAAAAGTAAGGTTGTACTTTGTTAGTGGAATGCACCCATCAAAATGAAGTTTCTGAGAACACTTCTGTCTACTTTTCATGTGAAGATATTTCCTTATCCACAATAGTCCCCAAAGCCCTCAAAATGCCCACTTGAAGATCCCTCAAAAAGACTGTTTCAAAACTGCAGTATCAGAAGGAAATTTCAACTATGTGAGTAGAATGCACACATCACAAAGTAGTTTCTGAGAATGCTTCTGTCTAGTTTTTATATGAAGATATTTCCTTTTCGACCTTAAGCCTCAAAGTGCTGCAATTATGCACTTTCAGATTCTTCAAAAAGAGGGTTTCAAAACTGCTCTGGCAAAAGGAAGTTTCAACGCTGTGAGTTGAATGCACACATCACAAAGAAGTTTCTGAGAATGCTTCTGTCTAATTTTTATGTGAAGATAATCCTGTTTCCCAAGAAGGCTTCAAAGCACCCTAATATCCGCCTCCAGATTCTACAGAAAGAGTGTTTCAAAACTGCTCTATCAAAAGGAAGGTTCAACTCTGTGAGTTGAATGCAGACATCATAAAGGAGTTTCTGAGAATGCTTCTGTCTTGTTTTAATGTGAAGATATTTCCTTTTCAACCGATAGCCTAAAAGAGCTCCAAATGTCCAACTGCAGATTTTTTAAAAAGAATGTTTCAAAACTGCACTATCAAAAGAAAGGTTCAGCTCTGTGAGTTGAATGCACACATCTCAAAGAAGTTTCTGAGAATGGTTCTGTCTAGTTTTTATGTGAAGGTATTCGCGATTCCAATGAAGTCTTCAAAGTGCTCCAAATATCTAAATGCGGATTCTACAAAAAGAGTGATTCAAAACTGGTCTATGAAAAGGAAGGTTCAGCTCTGTGAGTTGAACGCACACATCACAAAACGTTTCGGAGAATGCTTCCATTTAGTTTTTAGGTGAAGATATTACCTTTTCAACCACAGCCTTCGAAACGCTCCAAATGTCCACTTGCAGATTCTACAAGAAGATTGTTTCCAGGCGGCTCTATCAAAAGAAATGTTCAACTATGGGAGTAGAATACACACATCACAAAGTCGTTTCTGAGAATGCTTCTGTCTAGTTTTTATGTGAAGATATTTCCTTTTCTACCAGAGGCCTGAAAGCGCTCCAAATATCCAATTGCAGATTCTACAAAAAGAGTGTTTCAAAACTTCTCTATCAAAAGTAAGGGTCTGCTTTGTGAGTTGAATGTACACATCAAAATGAAGTTTCTGATTATACTTCTGTCTACTTCTTATGGGAAGATATTTCCTTATCCGCAATGGTCCTCAAAGCCCTCGAAATGCCCACTTGAAGATTCTTCGGAAAGACGGTTTCAAAACTGCTCTATCAAAAGAAAGTTTCAACTTTGTGTGTAGAATGCACACATCACAAAGTCGTTTCTGAGAATGCTTCTGTCTAGTTTTTATATGAAGATATTTCCTTTTCTACCATAAGCCTCAAAGCACTCTACATATGAACTGGCAGATTCTTTAAAAAGAGTGTTTCAAAACTGCTCTATCAAAACTGTTCTATCAACTCTGTGAGATGAATGGACACATCACAAAGATGTTTCTGAGAATGCTTATGTCTAGGTTTTAGGTGAAGATATTCTCGTTTCCAAAGAATGCTTCAAAGAGTACTTCAATATCCACCTGCAGATTCTACAAAAGGAGTGTTTCAAAACTGCTCTAACAAAAGAAAGGTTCAACCTGGGAGTTGAATGCACACATCACAAAGAAGTTTCTGAGAATGCTTCTGTCTAGTTTTAATGCGAAGATATTCCCTTTTCCATCATAACCTTCAAAGCGCTCCAAATGTCCATTTGCAGATTTTAGAAACAGAGTGGTTCCAGACTGCTCTATCAAAAGAAATTTTCAACTATGGGAGTAGAATGCACACAACACAAATTCGTTTCTGAGAATGCTTCTGTCTAGTTTTTATGTGAAGATATTTCCTTTTCTACCACAGGCATAAATGTGCTCCAAATATCCACTTGCAGATTCTAAACAAAGAGTGTTTCAAAACTGCTGTATCAAAAAGAAAGTTCAATTCTGTGAGTTGAATGCACACATCACAAAGTAGTTTCTGAGAATGCTTCTGCCTAATTTTTAGATTTAAGATATTCCCATTTCCAAAGAAGGCTTCAATTTGCTCCAAATATCCACTTGCAGATTGTACAAAAAGAGGGTTTCAAAACTGCTCTATCAAAAAGAAAGTTCAACTCTGTGAGATGAATGCACACATCACAAAGTGGTTTCAGAGAATGCTTCTTTCTAGTTTTCAGGTGACGATATTCCCGTTTCCAATGTAGCACTCAAAGAGCTCCAAATATCCTCCTGCAGATTGTGCAAAAAGGGTGTTTCAAAACTGCTCTATCAAAAAGAAGCTTCAACTCTGTGAGTTGAATGCACAAATCACAAAGAAGTTTCTGGGAATACTTCTGTCTATTTTTATGTGACGATACTCCCGTTTCCAAAGAAGGCTTCAAAGCACTCCAAATATCCACCTGCAGATTATAAAGGAAGAGTTTTTCAAAACTGCTCAATCCAAAGGAAGGTTCAGCTCCGTGAGTTCAATGCCCACATCACAAAGAAGTTTCTGAGAATGCTTCTGTCTGGTTTCAAGGGGAAGATATTCCCGTTTCCAACGAAGGCTTCAAAGCGCTCCAAATATCCGCTTGCAGAGTCTACAAAAAGACTGTTTCAAAACTGCTCTATAAAAGTAAGGTTGTACTTTGTTAGTGGAATGCACCCATCAAAATGAAGTTTCTGAGAACACTTCTGTCTACTTTTCATGTGAAGATATTTCCTTATCCACAATAGTCCCCAAAGCCCTCAAAATGCCCACTTGAAGATCCCTCAAAAAGACTGTTTCAAAACTGCAGTATCAGAAGGAAATTTCAACTATGTGAGTAGAATGCACACATCACAAAGTAGTTTCTGAGAATGCTTCTGTCTAGTTTTTATATGAAGATATTTCCTTTTCGACCTTAAGCCTCAAAGTGCTGCAATTATGCACTTTCAGATTCTTCAAAAAGAGGGTTTGAAAACTGCTCTGGCAAAAGGAAGTTTCAACGCTGTGAGTTGAATGCACACATCACAAAGAAGTTTCTGAGAATGCTTCTGTCTAATTTTTATGTGAAGATAATCCTGTTTCCCAAGAAGGCTTCAAAGCACCCTAATATCCGCCTCCAGATTCTACAGAAAGAGTGTTTCAAAACTGCTCTATGGAAAGGAAGGTTCAACTCTGTGAGTTGAATGCAGACATCATAAAGGAGTTTCTGAGAATGCTTCTGTCTTGTTTTAATGTGAAGATATTTCCTTTTCAACCGATAGCCTAAAAGAGCTCCAAATGTCCAACTGCAGATTTTTTAAAAAGAATGTTTCAAAACTGCACTATCAAAAGAAAGGTTCAGCTCTGTGAGTTGAATGCACACATCTCAAAGAAGTTTCTGAGAATGGTTCTGTCTAGTTTTTATGTGAAGGTATTCGCGATTCCAATGAAGTCTTCAAAGCGCTCCAAATCTCTAAATGTGGATTCTACAAAAAGAGTGATTCAAAACTGGTCTATGAAAAGGAAGGTTCAGCTCTGTGAGTTGAACGCACACATCACAAAACGTTTCGGACAATGCTTCCATTTAGTTTTTAGGTGAAGATATTACCTTTTCAACCACAGCCTTCGAAACGCTCCAAATGTCCACTTGCAGATTCTACAAGAAGATTGTTTCCAGGCGGCTCTATCAAAAGAAATGTTCAACTATGGGAGTAGAATACACACATCACAAAGTCGTTTCTGAGAATGCTTCTGTCTAGTTTTTATGTGAAGATATTTCCTTTTCTACCAGAGGCCTGAAAGCGCTCCAAATATCCAATTGCAGATTCTACAAAAAGACTGTTTCAAAACTTCTCTATCAAAAGTAAGGGTCTGCTTTGTGAGTTGAATGTACACATCAAAATGAAGTTTCTGATTATACTTCTGTCTACTTCTTATGGGAAGATATTTCCTTATCCGCAATGGTCCTCAAAGCCCTCGAAATGCCCACTTGAAGATTCTTCGGAAAGACTGTTTCAAAACTGCTCTATCAAAAGAAAGTTTCAACTTTGTGTGTAGAATGCACACATCACAAAGTCGTTTCTGAGAATGCTTCTGTCTAGTTTTTATATGAAGATATTTCCTTTTCTACCATAAGCCTCAAAGCACTGCACATATGAACTGGCAGATCCTTTAAAAAGAGTGTTTCAAAACTGCTCTATCAAAACTGTTCTATCAACTCTGTGAGATGAATGGACACATCACAAAGATGTTTCTGAGAATGCTTCTGTCTAGGTTTTAGGTGAAGATATTCTCGTTTCCAAAGAATGCTTCAAAGAGTACTTAAATATCCGCCTGCAGATTCTACAAAAGGAGTGTTTCGAAACTGCTCTAACAAAAGAAAGGTTCAACCTGGGAGTTGAATGCACACATCACAAAGAAGTTTCTGAGAGTGCTTCTGTCTAGTTTTAATGCGAAGATATTCCCTTTTCCATCATAACCTTCAAAGCGCTCCAAATGTCCATTTGCAGATTTTAGAAACAGAGTGGTTCCAGACTGCTCTATCAAAAGAAATTTTCAACTATGGGAGTAGAATGCACACAACACAAATTCGTTTCTGAGAATGCTTCTGTCTAGTTTTTATGTGAAGATATTTCCTTTTCTACCACAGGCATAAATGTGCTCCAAATATCCACTTGCAGATTCTGAAAAAAGAGTGTTTCAAAACTGCTGTATCAAAAGGAAGGTTCAATTCTGTGAGTTGAATGCACACATCACAAAGCAGTTTCTGAGAATGCTTCTGCCTAATTTTTAGTTTTAAGATATTCCCATTTCCAAAGAAGGCTTCAATTTGCTCCAAATATCCACTTGCAGATTGTACAAAAAGAGGGTTTCAAAACTGCTCTATCAACAGGAAGGTTCAACTCTGTGAGATGAATGCACACATCACAAAGTGGTTTCAGAGAATGCTTCTTTCTAGTTTTTAGGTGACGATATTCCCGTTTCCAATGTAGCACTCAAAGAGCTCCAAATATCCTCCTGCAGATTGTGCAAAAAGGGTGTTTCAAAACTGCTCTATCAAAAAGAAGCTTCAACTCTGTGAGTTGAATGCACAAATCACAAAGAAGTTTCTGGGAATACTTCTGTCTATTTTTATGTGACGATACTCCCGTTTCCAAAGAAGGCTTCAAAGCACTCCAAATATCCACCTGCAGATTATAAAGGAAGAGTTTTTCAAAACTGCTCAATCCAAAGGAAGGTTCAGCTCCGTGAGTTCAATGCCCACATCACAAAGAAGTTTCTGAGAATGCTTCTGTCTAGTTTCAAGGGGAAGATATTCCCGTTTCCAACGAAGGCTTCAAAGCGCTCCAAATATCCACTTGCAGAGTCTACAAAAAGACTGTTTCAAAACTGCTCTATAAAAGTAAGGTTGTCCTTTGTTAGTGGAATGCACCCATCAAAATGAAGTTTCTGAGAACACTTCTGTCTACTTTTCATGTGAAGATATTTCCTTATCCACAATAGTCCCCAAAGCCCTCAAAATGCCCACTTGAAGATCCCTCAAAAAGACTGTTTCAAAACTGCAGTATCAGAAGGAAATTTCAACTATGTGAGTAGAATGCACACATCACAAAGTAGTTTCTGAGAATGCTTCTCTCTAGTTTTTATATGAAGATATTTCCTTTTCGACCTTAAGCCTCAAAGTGCTGCAATTATGCACTTTCAGATTCTTCAAAAAGAGGGTTTCAAAACTGCTCTGGCAAAAGGAAGGTTCAACGCTGTGAGTTGAATGCACACATCACAAAGAAGTTTCTGAGAATGCTTCTGTCTAATTTTTATGTGAAGATAATCCTGTTTCCCAAGAAGGCTTCAAAGCACCCTAATATCCGCCTCCAGATTCTACAGAAAGAGTGTTTCAAAAGTGCTCTATCAAAAGGAAGGTTCAACTCTGTGAGTTGAATGCAGACATCATAAAGGAGTTTCTGAGAATGCTTCTGTCTTGTTTTAATGTGAAGATATTTCCTTTTCAACCGATAGCCTAAAAGAGCTCCAAATGTCCAACTGCAGATTTTTTAAAAAGAATGTTTCAAAACTGCACTATCAAAAGAAAGGTTCAGCTCTGTGAGTTGAATGCACACATCTCAAAGAAGTTTCTGAGAATAGTTCTGTCTAGTTTTTATGTTAAGGTATTCGCGATTCCAATGAAGTCTTCAAAGCGCTCCAAATATCTAAATGCGGATTCTACAAAAAGAGTGATTCAAAACTGGTCTATGAAAAGGAAGGTTCAGCTCTGTGAGTTGAACGCACACATCACAAAAAGTTTCGGACAATGCTTCCATTTAGTTTTTAGGTGAAGATATTACCTTTTCAACCACAGCCTTCGAAACGCTCCAAATGTCCACTTGCAGATTCTACAAGAAGATTGTTTCCAGGCGGCTCTATCAAAAGAAATGTTCAACTATGGGAGTAGAATACACACATCACAAAGTCGTTTCTGAGAATGCTTCTGTCTAGTTTTTATGTGAAGATATTTCCTTTTCTACCAGAGGCCTGAAAGCGCTCCAAATATCCAATTGCAGATTCTACAGAAAGAGTGTTTCAAAACTTCTCTATCAAAAGTAAGGGTCTGCTTTGTGAGTTGAATGTACACATCAAAATGAAGTTTCTGATTATACTTCTGTCTACTTCTTATGGGAAGATATTTCCTTATCCGCAATGGTCCTCAAAGCCCTCGAAATGCCCACTTGAAGATTCTTCGGAAAGACTGTTTCAAAACTGCTCTATCAAAAGAAAGTTTCAACTTTGTGTGTAGAATGCACACATCACAAAGTCGTTTCTGAGAATGCTTCTGTCTAGTTTTTATATGAAGATATTTCCTTTTCTACCATAAGCCTCAAAGCACTGCACATATGAACTGGCAGATCCTTTAAAAAGAGTGTTTCAAAACTGCTCTATCAAAACTGTTCTATCAACTCTGTGAGATGAATGGACACATCACAAAGATCTTTCTGAGAATGCTTCTGTCTAGGTTTTAGGTGAAGATATTCTCGTTTCCAAAGAATGCTTCAAAGAGTACTTAAATATCCGCCTGCAGATTCTACAAAAGGAGTGTTTCAAAACTGCTCTAACAAAAGAAAGGTTCAACCTGGGAGTTGAATGCACACATCACAAAGAAGTTTCTGAGAATGCTTCTGTCTAGTTTTAATGCGAAGATATTCCCTTTTCCATCATAACCTTCAAAGCGCTCCAAATGTCCATTTGCAGATTTTAGAAACAGAGTGTTTCCAGACTGCTCTATCAAAAGAAATTTTCAACTATGGGAGTAGAATGCACACAACACAAATTCGTTTCTGAGAATGCTTCTGTCTAGTTTTTATGTGAAGATATTTCCTTTTCTACCACAGGCATAAATGTGCTCCAAATATCCACTTGCAGATTCTAAACAAAGAGTGTTTCAAAACTGCTGTATCAAAAGGAAGGTTCAATTCGGTGAGTTGAATGCACACATCACAAAGTAGTTTCTGAGAATGCTTCTGCCTAATTTTTAGATTTAAGATATTCCCATTTCCAAAGAAGGCTTCAATTTGCTCCAAATATCCACTTGCAGATTGTACAAAAAGAGGGTATCAAAACTGCTCTATCAAAAGGAAGGTTCAACTCTGTGAGATGAATGCACACATCACAAAGTGGTTTCAGAGAATGCTTCTTTCTAGTTTTTAGGTGACGATATTCCCGTTTCCAATGTAGCACTCAAAGAGCTCCAAATATCCTCCTGCAGATTGTGCAAAAAGGGTGTTTCAAAACTGCTCTATCAAAAAGAAGCTTCAACTCTGTGAGTTGAATGCACAAATCACAAAGAAGTTTCTGGGAATACTTCTGTCTATTTTTATGTGACGATACTCCCGTTTCCAAAGAAGGCTTCAAAGCACTCCAAATATCCACCTGCAGATTATAAAGGAAGAGTTTTTCAAAACTGCTCAATCCAAAGGAAGGTTCAGCTCCGTGAGTTCAATGCCCACATTACAAAGAAGTTTCTGAGAATGCTTCTGTCTGGTTTCAAGTGGCAGATATTCCCGTTTCCAACGAAGGCTTCAAAGCGCTCCAAATATCCACTTGCAGAGTCTACAAAAAGACTGTTTCAAAACTGCTCTATAAAAGTAAGGTTGTACTTTGTTAGTGGAATGCACCCATCAAAATGAAGTTTCTGAGAACCCTTCTGTCTACTTTTCATGTGAAGATATTTCCTTATCCACAATAGTCCCGAAAGCCCTCAAAATGCCCACTTGAAGATCCCTCAAAAAGACTGTTTCAAAACTGCAGTATCAGAAGGAAATTTCAACTATGTGAGTAGAATGCACACATCACAAAGTAGTTTCTGAGAATGCTTCTGTCTAGTTTTTATATGAAGATATTTCCTTTTCGACCTTAAGCCTCAAAGTGCTGCAATTATGCACTTTCATATCCTTCAAAAAGAGGGTTTCAAAACTGCTCTGGCAAAAGGAAGTTTCAACGCTGTGAGTTGAATGCACACATCACAAAGAAGTTTCTGAGAATGCTTCTGTCTAATTTTTATGTGAAGATAATCCTGTTTCCCAAGAAGGCTTCAAAGCACCCTAATATCCGCCTCCAGATTCTACAGAAAGAGTGTTTCAAAACTGCTCTATGGAAAGGAAGGTTCAACTCTGTGAGTTGAATGCAGACATCATAAAGGAGTTTCTGAGAATGCTTCTGTCTTGTTTTAATGTGAAGATATTTCCTTTTCAACCGATAGCCTAAAAGAGCTCCAAATGTCCAACTGCAGATTTTTTAAAAAGAATGTTTCAAAACTGCACTATCAAAAGAAAGGTTCAGCTCTGTGAGTTGAATGCACACATCTCAAAGAAGTTTCTGAGAATGGTTCTGTCTAGTTTTTATGTGAAGGTATTCGCGATTCCAATGAAGTCTTCAAAGCGCTCCAAATATCTAAATGCGGATTCTACAAAAAGAGTGATTGAAAACTGGTCTATGAAAAGGAAGGTTCAGCTCTGTGAGTTGAACGCACACATCACAAAAAGTTTCGGAGAATGCTTCCATTTAGTTTTTAGGTGAAGATATTACCTTTTCAACCACAGCCTTCAAAACGCTCCAAATGTCCACTTGCAGATTCTACAAGAAGATTGTTTCCAGGCGGCTCTATCAAAAGAAATGTTCAACTATGGGAGTAGAATACACACATCACAAAGTCGTTTCTGGGAATGCTTCTGTCTAGTTTTTATGTGAAGATATTTCCTTTTCTACCAGAGGCCTGAAAGCGCTCCAAACATCCAATTGCAGATTCTACAAAAAGAGTGTTTCAAAACTTCTCTATCAAAAGTTAGGGTCTGCTTTGTGAGTTGAATGTACACATCAAAATGAAGTTTCTGATTATACTTCTGTCTACTTCTTATGGGAAGATATTTCCTTATCCGCAATGGTCCTCAAAGCCCTCGAAATGCCCACTTGAAGATTCTTCGGAAAGACTGTTTCGAAACTGCTCTATCAAAAGAAAGTTTCAACTTTGTGTGTAGAATGCACACATCACAAAGTCGTTTCTGAGAATGCTTCTGTCTAGTTTTTATAGGAAGATATTTCCTTTTCTACCATAAGCCTCAAAGCACTGCACATATGAACTGGCAGATTCTTTAAAAAGAGTGTTTCAAAACTGCTCTATCAAAACTGTTCTACCAACTCTCTGAGATGAATGGACACATCACAAAGATGTTTCTGAGAATGCTTCTGTCTAGGTTTTAGGTGAAGATATTCTCGTTTCCAAAGAATGCTTCAAAGAGTACTTAAATATCCGCCTGCAGATTCTACAAAAGGAGTGTTTCAAAACTGCTCTAACAAAAGAAAGGTTCAACCTGGGAGTTGAATGCACACATCACAAAGAAGTTTCTGAGAATGCTTCTGTCTAGTTTTAATGCGAAGATATTCCCTTTTCCATCATAACCTTCAAAGCGCTCCAAATGTCCATTTGCAGATTTTAGAAACAGAGTGGTTGCAGACTGCTCTATCAAAAGAAATTTTCAACTATGGGAGTAGAATGCACACAACACAAATTCGTTTCTGAGAATGCTTCTGTCTAGTTTTTATGTGAAGATATTTCCTTTTCTACCACAGGCATAAATGTGCTCCAAATATCCACTTGCAGATTCTAAACAAAGAGTGTTTCAAAACTGCTGTATCAAAAGGAAGGTTCAATTCTGTGAGTTGAATGCACACATCACAAAGTAGTTTCTGAGAATGCTTCTGCCTAATTTTTAGATTTAAGATATTCCCATTTCCAAAGAAGGCTTCAATTTGCTCCAAATATCCACTTGCAGATTGTACAAAAAGAGGGTTTCAAAACTGCTCTATCAAAAGGAAGGTTCAACTCTGTGAGATGAATGCACACATCACAAAGTGGTTTCAGAGAATGCTTCTTTCTAGTTTTCAGGTGACGATATTCCCGTTTCCAATGTAGCACTCAAAGAGCTCCAAATATCCTCCTGCAGATTGTGCAAAAAGGGTGTTTCAAAACTGCTCTATCAAAAAGAAGCTTCAACTCTGTGAGTTGAATGCACAAATCACAAAGAAGTTTCTGGGAATACTTCTGTCTATTTTTATGTGACGATACTCCCGTTTCCAAAGAAGGCTTCAAAGCACTCCAAATATCCACCTGCAGATTATAAAGGAAGAGTTTTTCAAAACTGCTCAATCCAAAGGATGGTTCAGCTCCGTGAGTTCAATGCCCACATCACAAAGAAGTTTCTGAGAATGCTTCTGTCTGGTTTCAAGGGGAAGATATTCCCGTTTCCAACGAAGGCTTCAAAGCGCTCCAAATATCCACTTGCAGAGTCTACAAAAAGACTGTTTCAAAACTGCTCTATAAAAGTAAGGTTGTACTTTGTTAGTGGAATGCACCCATCAAAATGAAGTTTCTGAGAACACTTCTGTCTACTTTTCATGTGAAGATATTTCCTTATCCACAATAGTCCCGAAAGCCCTCAAAATGCCCACTTGAAGATCCCTCAAAAAGACTGTTTCAAAACTGCAGTATCAGAAGGAAATTTCAACTATGTGAGTAGAATGCACACATCACAAAGTAGTTTCTGAGAATGCTTCTGTCTAGTTTTTATATGAAGATATTTCCTTTTCGACCTTAAGCCTCAAAGTGCTGCAATTATGCACTTTCAGATTCTTCAAAAAGAGGGTTTCAAAACTGCTCTGGCAAAAGGAAGTTTCAACGCTGTGAGTTGAATGCACACATCACAAAGAAGTTTCTGAGAATGCTTCTGTCTAATTTTTATGTGAAGATAATCCTGTTTCCCAAGAAGGCTTCAAAGCACCCTAATATCCACCTCCAGATTCTACAGAAAGAGTGTTTCAAAACTGCTCTATGGAAAGGAAGGTTCAACTCTGTGAGTTGAATGCAGACATCATAAAGGAGTTTCTGAGAATGCTTCTGTCTTGTTTTAATGTGAAGATATTTCCTTTTCAACCGATAGCCTAAAAGAGCTCCAAATGTCCAACTGCAGATTTTTTAAAAAGAATGTTTCAAAACTGCACTATCAAAAGAAAGGTTCAGCTCTGTGAGTTGAATGCACACATCTCAAAGAAGTTTCTGAGAATGGTTCTGTCTAGTTTTTATGTGAAGGTATTCGCGATTCCAATGAAGTCTTCAAAGCGCTCCAAATATCTAAATGCGGATTCTACAAAAACAGTGATTCAAAACTGGTCTATGAAAAGGAAGGTTCAGCTCTGTGAGTTGAACGCACACATCACAAAAAGTTTCGGAGAATGCTTCCATTTAGTTTTTAGGTGAAGATATTACCTTTTCAACCACAGCCTTCAAAACGCTCCAAATGTCCACTTGCAGATTCTACAAGAAGATTGTTTCCAGGCGGCTCTATCAAAAGAAATGTTCAACTATGGGAGTAGAATACACACATCACAAAGTCGTTTCTGAGAATGCTTCTGTCTAGTTTTTATGTGAAGATATTTCCTTTTCTACCAGAGGCCTGAAAGCGCTCCAAACATCCAATTGCAGATTCTACAAAAAGAGTGTTTCAAAACTTCTCTATCAAAAGTAAGGGTCTGCTTTGTGAGTTGAATGTACACATCGAAATGAAGTTTCTGATTATACTTCTGTCTACTTCTTATGGGAAGATATTTCCTTATCCGCAATGGTCCTCAAAGCTCTCGAAATGCCCACTTGAAGATTCTTCGGAAAGACGGTTTCAAAACTGCTCTATCAAAAGAAAGTTTCAACTTTGTGTGTAGAATGCACACATCACAAAGTCGTTTCTGAGAATGCTTCTGTCTAGTTTTTATAGGAAGATATTTCCTTTTCTACCATAAGCCTCAAAGCACTGCACATATGAACTGGCAGATTCTTTAAAAAGAGTGTTTCAAAACTGCTCTATCAAAACTGTTCTACCAACTCTCTGAGATGAATGGACACATCACAAAGATGTTTCTGAGAATGCTTCTGTCTAGGTTTTAGGTGAAGATATTCTCGTTTCCAAAGAATGCTTCAAAGAGTACTTAAATATCCGCCTGCAGATTCTACAAAAGGAGTGTTTCAAAACTGCTCTATGAAAAGAAAGGTTCAACCTGGGAGTTGAATGCACACATCACAAAGAAGTTTCTGAGAATGCTTCTGTCTAGTTTTAATGCGAAGATATTCCCTTTTCCATCATAACCTTCAAAGCGCTCCAAATGTCCATTTGCAGATTTTAGAAACAGAGTGGTTGCAGACTGCTCTATCAAAAGAAATTTTCAACTATGGGAGTAGAATGCACACAACACAAATTCGTTTCTGAGAATGCTTCTGTCTAGTTTTTATGTGAAGATATTTCCTTTTCTACCACAGGCATAAATGTGCTCCAAATATCCACTTGCAGATTCTAAACAAAGAGTGTTTCAAAACTGCTGTATCAAAAGGAAGGTTCAATTCTGTGAGTTGAATGCACACATCACAAAGTAGTTTCTGAGAATGCTTCTGCCTAATTTTTAGATTTAAGATATTCCCATTTCCAAAGAAGGCTTCAATTTGCTCCAAATATCCACTTGCAGATTGTACAAAAAGAGGGTTTCAAAACTGCTCTATCAAAAGGAAGGTTCAACTCTGTGAGATGAATGCACACATCACAAAGTGGTTTCAGAGAATGCTTCTTTCTAGTTTTCAGGTGACGATATTCCCGTTTCCAATGTAGCACTCAAAGAGCTCCAAATATCCTCCTGCAGATTGTGCAAAAAGGGTGTTTCAAAACTGCTCTATCAAAAAGAAGCTTCAACTCTGTGAGTTGAATGCACAAATCACAAAGAAGTTTCTGGGAATACTTCTGTCTATTTTTATGTGACGATACTCCCGTTTCCAAAGAAGGCTTCAAAGCACTCCAAATATCCACCTGCAGATTATAAAGGAAGAGTTTTTCAAAACTGCTCAATCCAAAGGAAGGTTCAGCTCCGTGAGTTCAATGCCCACATCACAAAGAAGTTTCTGAGAATGCTTCTGTCTGGTTTCAAGGGGAAGATATTCCCGTTTCCAACGAAGGCTTCAAAGCGCTCCAAATATCCACTTGCAGAGTCTACAAAAAGACTGTTTCAAAACTGCTCTATAAAAGTAAGGTTGTACTTTGTTAGTGGAATGCACCCATCAAAATGAAGTTTCTGAGAACACTTCTGTCTACTTTTCATGTGAAGATATTTCCTTATCCACAATAGTCCCGAAAGCCCTCAAAATGCCCACTTGAAGATCCCTCAAAAAGACTGTTTCAAAACTGCAGTATCAGAAGGAAATTTCAACTATGTGAGTAGAATGCACACATCACAAAGTAGTTTCTGAGAATGCTTCTGTCTAGTTTTTATATGAAGATATTTCCTTTTCGACCTTAAGCCTCAAAGTGCTGCAATTATGCACTTTCAGATTCTTCAAAAAGAGGGTTTCAAAACTGCTCTGGCAAAAGGAAGTTTCAACGCTGTGAGTTGAATGCACACATCACAAAGAAGTTTCTGAGAATGCTTCTGTCTAATTTTTATGTGAAGATAATCCTGTTTCCCAAGAAGGCTTCAAAGCACCCTAATATCCACCTCCAGATTCTACAGAAAGAGTGTTTCAAAACTGCTCTATGGAAAGGAAGGTTCAACTCTGTGAGTTGAATGCAGACATCATAAAGGAGTTTCTGAGAATGCTTCTGTCTTGTTTTAATGTGAAGATATTTCCTTTTCAACCGATAGCCTAAAAGAGCTCCAAATGTCCAACTGCAGATTTTTTAAAAAGAATGTTTCAAAACTGCACTATCAAAAGAAAGGTTCAGCTCTGTGAGTTGAATGCACACATCTCAAAGAAGTTTCTGAGAATGGTTCTGTCTAGTTTTTATGTGAAGGTATTCGCGATTCCAATGAAGTCTTCAAAGCGCTCCAAATATCTAAATGCGGATTCTACAAAAAGAGTGATTGAAAACTGGTCTATGAAAAGGAAGGTTCAGCTCTGTGAGTTGAACGCACACATCACAAAAAGTTTCGGAGAATGCTTCCATTTAGTTTTTAGGTGAAGATATTACCTTTTCAACCACAGCCTTCAAAACGCTCCAAATGTCCACTTGCAGATTCTACAAGAAGATTGTTTCCAGGCGGCTCTATCAAAAGAAATGTTCAACTATGGGAGTAGAATACACACATCACAAAGTCGTTTCTGGGAATGCTTCTGTCTAGTTTTTATGTGAAGATATTTCCTTTTCTACCAGAGGCCTGAAAGCGCTCCAAACATCCAATTGCAGATTCTACAAAAAGAGTGTTTCAAAACTTCTCTATCAAAAGTTAGGGTCTGCTTTGTGAGTTGAATGTACACATCAAAATGAAGTTTCTGATTATACTTCTGTCTACTTCTTATGGGAAGATATTTCCTTATCCGCAATGGTCCTCAAAGCCCTCGAAATGCCCACTTGAAGATTCTTCGGAAAGACGATTTCAAAACTACTCTATCAAAAGAAAGTTTCAACTTTGTGTGTAGAATGCACACATCACAAAGTCGTTTCTGAGAATGCTTCTGTCTAGTTTTTATATGAAGATATTTCCTTTTCTACCATAAGCCTCAAAGCACTGCACATATGAACAGGCAGATCCTTTAAAAAGAGTGTATCAAAACTGCTCTATCAAAACTGTTCTATCAACTCTGTGAGATGAATGGACACATCACAAAGATGTTTCTGAGAATGCTTCTGTCTAGGTTTTAGGTGAAGATATTCTCGTTTCCAAAGAATGCTTCAAAGAGTACTTAAATATCCGCCTGCAGATTCTACAAAAGGAGTGTTTCAAAACTGCTCTAACAAAAGAAAGTTTCAACCTGGGAGTTGAATGCACACATCACAAAGAAGTTTCTGAGAATGCTTCTGTCTAGTTTTAATGCGAAGATATTCCCTTTTCCATCATAACCTTCAAAGCGCTCCAAATGTCCATTTGCAGATTTTAGAAACAGAGTGTTTCCAGACTGCTCTATCAAAAGAAATTTTCAACTATGGGAGTAGAATGCACACAACACAAATTCGTTTCTGAGAATGCTTCTGTCTAGTTTTTATGTGAAGATATTTCCTTTTCTACCAGAGGCATAAATGTGCTCCAAATATCCACTTGCAGATTCTGAAAAAAGAGTGTTTCAAAACTGCTGTATCAAAAGGAAGGTTCAATTCTGTGAGTTGAATGCACGCATCACAAAGCAGTTTCTGAGAATGCTTCTGCCTAATTTTTAGTTTTAAGATATTCCAATTTCCAAAGAAGGCTTCAATTTGCTCCAAATATCCACTTGCAGATTGTACAAAAAGAGGGTTTCAAAACTGCTCTATCAACAGGAAGGTTCAACTCTGTGAGATGAATGCACACATCGCAAAGTGGTTTCAGAGAATGCTTCTTTCTAGTTTTTAGGTGACGATATTCCCGTTTCCAATGTAGCACTCAAAGAGCTCCAAATATCCTCCTGCAGATTGTGCAAAAAGGGTGTTTCAAAACTGCTCTATCAAAAAGAAGCTTCAACTCTGTGAGTTGAATGCACAAATCACAAAGAAGTTTCTGGGAATACTTCTGTCTATTTTTATGTGACGATACTCCCGTTTCCAAAGAAGGCTTCAAAGCACTCCAAATATCCACCTGCAGATTATAAAGGAAGAGTTTTTCAAAACTGCTCAATCCAAAGGAAGGTTCAGCTCCGTGAGTTCAATGCCCACATCACAAAGAAGTTTCTGAGAATGCTTCTGTCTAGTTTCAAGGGGAAGATATTCCCGTTTCCAACGAAGGCTTCAAAGCGCTCCAAATATCCACTTGCAGAGTCTACAAAAAGACTGTTTCAAAACTGCTCTATAAAAGTAAGGTTGTACTTTGTTAGTGGAATGCACCCATCAAAATGAAGTTTCTGAGAACACTTCTGTCTACTTTTCATGTGAAGATATTTCCTTATCCACAATAGTCCCCAAAGTCCTCAAAATGCCCACTTGAAGATCACTCAAAAAGACTGTTTCAAAACTGCAGTATCAGAAGGAAATTTCAACTATGTGAGTAGAATGCACACATCACAAAGTAGTTTCTGAGAATGCTTCTGTCTAGTTTTTATATGAAGATATTTCCTTTTCGACCTTAAGCCTCAAAGTGCTGCAATTATGCACTTTCAGATACTTCAAAAAGAGGGTTCCAAAACTGCTCTGGCAAAAGGAAGTTTCAACGCTGTGAGTTGAATGCACACATCACAAAGAAGTTTCTGAGAATGCTTCTGTCTAATTTTTATGTGAAGATAATCCTGTTTCCCAAGAAGGCTTCAAAGCACCCTAATATCCGCCTCCAGATTCTACAGAAAGAGTGTTTCAAAACTGCTCTATGGAAAGGAAGGTTCAACTCTGTGAGTTGAATGCAGACATCATAAAGGAGTTTCTGAGAATGCTTCTGTCTTGTTTTAATGTGAAGATATTTCCTTTTCAACCGATAGCCTAAAAGAGCTCCAAATGTCCAACTGCAGATTTTTTAAAAAGAATGTTTCAAAACTGCACTATCAAAAGAAAGGTTCAGCTCTGTGAGTTGAATGCACACATCTCAAAGAAGTTTCTGAGAATGGTTCTGTCTAGTTTTTATGTGAAGGTATTCGCGATTCCGATGAAGTCTTCAAAGCGCTCCAAATATCTAAATGCGGATTCTACAAAAAGAGTGATTCAAAACTGCTCTATGAAAAGGAAGGTTCAGCTCTGTGAGTTGAACGCACACATCACAAAAAGTTTCGGACAATGCTTCCATTTAGTTTTTAGGTGAAGATATTACCTTTTCAACCACAGCCTTCGAAACGCTCCAAATGTCCACTTGCAGATTCTACAAGAAGATTGTTTCCAGGCGGCTCTATCAAAAGAAATGTTCAACTATGGGAGTAGAATACACACATCACAAAGTTGTTTCTGAGAATGCTTCTGTCTTGTTTTTATGTGAAGATATTTCCTTTTCTACCAGAGGCCTGAAACCGCTCCAAACATCGAATTGCAGATTCTACAAAAAGAGTGTTTCAAAACTTCTCTATCAAAAGTAAGGGTCTGCTTTGTGAGTTGAATGTACACATCAAAATGAAGTTTCTGATTATACTTCTGTCTACTTCTTATGGGAATATATTTCCTTATCCGCAATGGTCCTCAAAGCCCTCGAAATGCCTACTTGAAGATTCTTCGGAAAGACGGTTTCAAAACTGCTCTATCAAAAGAAAGTTTCAACTTTGTGTGTAGAATGCACACATCACAAAGTCGTTTCTGAGAATGCTTCTGTCTACTTTTTATATGAAGATATTTCCTTTTCTACCATAAGCCTCAAAGCACTGCACATATGAATTGGCAGATTCTTTAAAAAGAGTGTTTCAAAACTGCTCTATCAAAACTGTTCTATCAACTCTGTGAGATGAATGGACACATCACAAAGATGTTTCTGAGAATGCTTCTGTCTAGGTTTTAGGTGAAGATATTCTCGTTTCCAAAGAATGCTTCAAAGAGTACTTAAATATCCGCCTGCAGATTCTACAGAAGGAGTGTTTCAAAACTGCTCTAACAAAAGAAAGGTTCAACCTGGGAGTTGAATGCACACATCACAAAGAAGTTTCTGAGAATGCTTCTGTCTAGTTTTAATGCGAAGATATTCCCTTTTCCATCATAACCTTCAAAGCGCTCCAAATGTCCATTTGCAGATTTTAGAAACAGAGTGTTTCCAGACTGCTCTATCAAAAGAAATTTTCAACTATGGGAGTAGAATGCACACAACACAAATTCGTTTCTGAGAATGCTTCTGTCTAGTTTTTATGTGAAGATATTTCCTTTTCTACCACAGGCATAAATGTGCTCCAAATATCCACTTGCCGATTCTAAAAAAAGAGTGTTTCAAAACTGCTGTATCAAAAGGAAGGTTCAATTCTGTGAGTTGAATGCACACATCACAAAGTAGTTTCTGAGAATGCTTCTGCCTAATTTTTAGATTTAAGATTTCCCATTTCCAAAGAAGGCTTCAATTTGCTCCAAATATCCACTTGCAGATTGTACAAAAAGAGGGTTTCAAAACTGCTCTATCAAAAGGAAGGTTCAACTCTGTGAGATGAATGCACACATCACAAAGTGGTTTCAGAGAATGCTTCTTTCTAGTTTTTAGGTGACGATATTCCCGTTTCCAATGTAGCACTCAAAGAGCTCCAAATATCCTCCTGCAGATTGTGCAAAAAGGGTGTTTCAAAACTGCTCTATCAAAAAGAAGCTTCAACTCTGTGAGTTGAATGCACAAATCACAAAGAAGTTTCTGGGAATACTTCTGTCTATTTTTATGTGACGATACTCCCGTTTCCAAAGAAGGCTTCAAAGCACTCCAAATATCCACCTGCAGATTATAAAGGAAGAGTTTGTCAAAACTGCTCAATCCAAAGGAAGGTTCAGCTCCGTGAGTTCAATGCCCACATCACAAAGAAGTTTCTGAGAATGCTTCTGTCTAGTTTCAAGGGGAAGATATTCCCGTTTCCAACGAAGGCTTCAAAGCGCTCCAAATATCCACTTGCAGAGTCTACAAAAAGACTGTTTCAAAACTGCTCTATAAAAGTAAGGTTGTACTTTGTTAGTGGAATGCACCCATCAAAATGAAGTTTCTGAGAACACTTCTGTCTACTTTTCATGTGAAGATATTTCCTTATCCACAATAGTCCCCAAAGCCCTCAAAATGCCCACTTGAAGATCCCTCAAAAAGACTGTTTCAAAACTGCAGTATCAGAAGGAAATTTCAACTATGTGAGTAGAATGCACACATCACAAAGTAGTTTCTGAGAATGCTTCTGTCTAGCTTTTATATGAAGATATTTCCTTTTCGACCTTAAGCCTCAAAGTGCTGCAATTATGCACTTTCAGATTCTTCAAAAAGAGGGTTTCAAAACTGCTCTGGCAAAAGGAAGTTTCAACGCTGTGAGTTGAATGCACACATCACAAAGAAGTTTCTGAGAATGCTTCTGTCTAATTTTTATGTGAAGATAATCCTGTTTCCCAAGAAGGCTTCAAAGCACCCTAATATCCGCCTCCAGATTCTACAGAAAGAGTGTTTCAAAACTGCTCTATGGAAAGGAAGGTTCAACTCTGTGAGTTGAATGCAGACATCATAAAGGAGTTTCTGAGAATGCTTCTGTCTTGTTTTAATGTGAAGATATTTCCTTTTCAACCGATAGCCTAAAAGAGCTCCAAATGTCCAACTGCAGATTTTTTAAAAAGAATGTTTCAAAACTGCACTATCAAAAGAAAGGTTCAGCTCTGTGAGTTGAATGCACACATCTCAAAGAAGTTTCTGAGAATGGTTCTGTCTAGTTTTTATGTGAAGGTATTCGCGATTCCAATGAAGTCTTCAAAGCGCTCCAAATATCTAAATGTGGATTCTACAAAAAGAGTGATTCAAAACTGGTCTATGAAAAGGAAGGTTCAGCTCTGTGAGTTGAACGCACACATCACAAAACGTTTCGGACAATGCTTCCATTTAGTTTTTAGGTGAAGATATTACCTTTTCAACCACAGCCTTCGAAACGCTCCAAATGTCCACTTGCAGATTCTACAAGAAGATTGTTTCCAGGCGGCTCTATCAAAAGAAATGTTCAACTATGGGAGTAGAATACACACATCACAAAGTCGTTTCTGAGAATGCTTCTGTCTAGTTTTTATGTGAAGATATTTCCTTTTCTACCAGAGGCCTGAAAGCGCTCCAAATATCCAATTGCAGATTCTACAAAAAGACTGTTTCAAAACTTCTCTATCAAAAGTAAGGGTCTGCTTTGTGAGTTGAATGTACACATCAAAATGAAGTTTCTGATTATACTTCTGTCTACTTCTTATGGGAAGATATTTCCTTATCCGCAATGGTCCTCAAAGCCCTCGAAATGCCCACTTGAAGATTCTTCGGAAAGACGGTTTCAAAACTGCTCTATCAAAAGAAAGTTTCAACTTTGTGTGTAGAATGCACACATCACAAAGTCGTTTCTGAGAATGCTTCTGTCTAGTTTTTATATGAAGATATTTCCTTTTCTGCCATAAGCCTCAAAGCACTGCACATATGAACTGGCAGATTCTTTAAAAAGAGTGTTTCAAAACTGCTCTATCAAAACTGTTCTATCAACTCTGTGAGATGAATGGTCACATCACAAAGATGTTTCTTAGAATGCTTCTGTCTAGGTTTTAGGTGAAGATATTCTCGTTTCCAAAGAATGCTTCAAAGAGTACTTAAATATCCGCCCGCAGATTCTACAAAAGGAGTGTTTCAAAACTGCTCTAACAAAAGAAAGGTTCAACCTGGGAGTTGAATGCACACATCACAAAGAAGTTTCTGAGAATGCTTCTGTCTAGTTTTAATGCGAAGATATTCCCTTTTCCATCATAACCTTCAAAGCGCTCCAAATGTCCATTTGCAGATTTTAGAAACAGAGTGGTTCCAGACTGCTCTATCAAAAGAAATTTTCAACTATGGGAGTAGAATGCACACAACACAAATTCGTTTCTGAGAATGCTTCTGTCTAGTTTTTATGTGAAGATATTTCCTTTTCTACCACAGGCATAAATGTGCTCCAAATATCCACTTGCAGATTCTAAACAAAGAGTGTTTCAAAACTGCTGTATCAAAAGGAAGGTTCAATTCTGTGAGTTGAATGCACACATCACAAAGTAGTTTCTGAGAATGCTTCTGCCTAATTTTTAGATTTAAGATATTCCCATTTCCAAAGAAGGCTTCAATTTGCTCCAAATATCCACTTGCAGATTGTACAAAAAGAGGGTTTCAAAACTGCTCTATCAAAAGGAAGGTTCAACTCTGTGAGATGAATGCACACATCACAAAGTGGTTTCAGAGAATGCTTCTTTCTAGTTTTCAGGTGACGATATTCCCGTTTCCAATGTAGCACTCAAAGAGCTCCAAATATCCTCCTGCAGATTGTGCAAAAAGGGTGTTTCAAAACTGCTCTATCAAAAAGAAGCTTCAACTCTGTGAGTTGAATGCACAAATCACAAAGAAGTTTCTGGGAATACTTCTGTCTATTTTTATGTGACGATACTCCCGTTTCCAAAGAAGGCTTCAAAGCACTCCAAATATCCACCTGCAGATTATAAAGGAAGAGTTTTTCAAAACTGCTCAATCCAAAGGAAGGTTCAGCTCCGTGAGTTCAATGCCCACATCACAAAGAAGTTTCTGAGAATGCTTCTGTCTGGTTTCAAGGGGAAGATATTCCCGTTTCCAACGAAGGCTTCAAAGCGCTCCAAATATCCGCTTGCAGAGTCTACAAAAAGACTGTTTCAAAACTGCTCTATAAAAGTAAGGTTGTACTTTTTTAGTGGAATGCACCCATCAAAATGAAGTTTCTGAGAACACTTCTGTCTACTTTTCATGTGAAGATATTTCCTTATCCACAATAGTCCCCAAAGCCCTCAAAATGCCCACTTGAAGATCCCTCAAAAAGACTGTTTCAAAACTGCAGTATCAGAAGGAAATTTCAACTATGTGAGTAGAATGCACACATCACAAAGTAGTTTCTGAGAATGCTTCTGTCTAGTTTTTATATGAAGATATTTCCTTTTCGACCTTAAGCCTCAAAGTGCTGCAATTATGCACTTTCAGATTCTTCAAAAAGAGGGTTTCAAAACTGCTCTGGCAAAAGGAAGTTTCAACGCTGTGAGTTGAATGCACACATCACAAAGAAGTTTCTGAGAATGCTTCTGTCTAATTTTTATGTGAAGATAATCCTGTTTCCCAAGAAGGCTTCAAAGCACCCTAATATCCGCCTCCAGATTCTACAGAAAGAGTGTTTCAAAACTGCTCTATCAAAAGGAAGGTTCAACTCTGTGAGTTGAATGCAGACATCATAAAGGAGTTTCTGAGAATGCTTCTGTCTTGTTTTAATGTGAAGATATTTCCTTTTCAACCGATAGCCTAAAAGAGCTCCAAATGTCCAACTGCAGATTTTTTAAAAAGAATGTTTCAACACTGCACTATCAAAAGAAAGGTTCAGCTCTGTGAGTTGAATGCACACATCTCAAAGAAGTTTCTGAGAATGGTTCTGTCTAGTTTTTATGTGAAGGTATTCGCGATTCCAATGAAGTCTTCAAAGCGCTCCAAATATCTAAATGCGGATTCTACAAAAAGAGTGATTCAAAACTGGTCTATGAAAAGGAAGGTTCAGCTCTGTGAGTTGAACACACACATCACAAAAAGTTTCCGACAATGCTTCCATTTAGTTTTTAGGTGAAGATATTACCTTTTCAACCACAGCCTTCGAAACGCTCCAAATGTCCACTTGCAGATTGTACAAGAAGATTGTTTCCAGGCGGCTCTATCAAAAGAAATGTTCAACTATGGGAGTAGAATACACACATCACAAAGTCGTTTCTGAGAATGCTTCTGTCTAGTTTTTATGTGAAGATATTTCCTTTTCTACCAGAGGCCTGAAAGCGCTCCAAATATCCAATTGCAGATTCTACAAAAAGAGTGTTTCAAAACTTCTCTATCAAAAGTAAGGGTCTGCTTTGTGAGTTGAATGTACACATCAAAATGAAGTTTCTGATTATACTTCTGTCTACTTCTTATGGGAAGATATTTCCTTATCCGCAATGGTCCTCAAAGCCCTCGAAATGCCCACTTGAATATTCTTCGGAAAGACGGTTTCAAAACTGCTCTATCAAAAGAAAGTTTCAACTTTGTGTGTAGAATGCACACATCACAAAGTCGTTTCTGAGAATGCTTCTGTCTAGTTTTTATAGGAAGATATTTCCTTTTCTACCATAAGCCTCAAAGCACTGCACATATGAACTGGCAGATTCTTTAAAAAGAGTGTTTCAAAACTGCTCTATCAAAACTGTTCTATCAACTCTGTGAGATGAATGGACACATCACAAAGATGTTTCTGAGAATGCTTCTGTCTAGGTTTTAGGTGAAGATATTCTCGTTTCCAAAGAATGCTTCAAAGAGTACTTCAATATCCGCCTGCAGATTCTACAAAAGGAGTGTTTCAAAACTGCTCTAACAAAAGAAAGGTTCAACCTGGGAGTTGAATGCACACATCACAAAGAAGTTTCTGAGAATGCTTCTGTCTAGTTTTAATGCGAAGATATTCCCTTTTCCATCATAACCTTCAAAGCGCTCCAAATGTCCATTTGCAGATTTTAGAAACAGAGTGGTTCCAGACTGCTCTATCAAAAGAAATTTTCAACTATGGGAGTAGAATGCACACAACACAAATTCGTTTCTGAGAATGCTTCTGTCTAGTTTTTATGTGAAGATATTTCCTTTTCTACCACAGGCATAAATGTGCTCCAAATATCCACTTGCAGATTCTAAACAAAGAGTGTTTCAAAACTGCTGTATCAAAAGGAAGGTTCAATTCTGTGAGTTGAATGCACACATCACAAAGTAGTTTCGGAGAATGCTTCTGCCTAATTTTTAGATTTAAGATATTCCCATTTCCAAAGAAGGCTTCAATTTGCTCCAAATATCCACTTGCAGATTGTACAAAAAGAGGGTTTCAAAACTGCTCTATCAAAAGGAAGGTTCAACTCTGTGAGATGAATGCACACATCACAAAGTGGTTTCAGAGAATGCTTCTTTCTAGTTTTTAGGTGACGATATTCCCGTTTCCAATGTAGCACTCAAAGAGCTCCAAATATCCTCCTGCAGATTGTGCAAAAAGGGTGTTTCAAAACTGCTCTATCAAAAAGAAGCTTCAACTCTGTGAGTTGAATGCACAAATCACAAAGAAGTTTCTGGGAATACTTCTGTCTATTTTTATGTGACGATACTCCCGTTTCCAAAGAAGGCTTCAAAGCACTCCAAATATCCACCTGCAGATTATAAAGGAAGAGTTTTTCAAAACTGCTCAATCCAAAGGAAGGTTCAGCTCCGTGAGTTCAATGCCCACATCACAAAGAAGTTTCTGAGAATGCTTCTGTCTGGTTTCAAGGGGAAGATATTCCCGTTTCCAACGAAGGCTTCAAAGCGCTCCAAATATCCACTTGCAGAGTCTACAAAAAGACTGTTTCAAAACTGCTCTATAAAAGTAAGGTTGTCCTTTGTTAGTGGAATGCACCCATCAAAATGAAGTTTCTGAGAACACTTCTGTCTACTTTTCATGTGAAGATATTTCCTTATCCACAATAGTCCCCAAAGCCCTCAAAATGCCCACTTGAAGATCCCTCAAAAAGACTGTTTCAAAACTGCAGTATCAGAAGGAAATTTCAACTATGTGAGTAGAATGCACACATCACAAAGTAGTTTCTGAGAATGCTTCTGTCTAGTTTTTATATGAAGATATTTCCTTTTCGACCTTAAGCCTCAAAGTGCTGCAATTATGCACTTTCAGATTCTTCAAAAAGAGGGTTTCAAAACTGCTCTGGCAAAAGGAAGTTTCAACGCTGTGAGTTGAATGCACACATCACAAAGAAGTTTCTGAGAATGCTTCTGTCTAATTTTTATGTGAAGATAATCCTGTTTCCCAAGAAGGCTTCAAAGCACCCTAATATCCGCCTCCAGATTCTACAGAAAGAGTGTTTCAAAACTGCTCTATCAAAAGGAAGGTTCAACTCTGTGAGTTGAATGCAGACATCATAAAGGAGTTTCTGAGAATGCTTCTGTCTTGTTTTAATGTGAAGATATTTCCTTTTCAACCGATAGCCTAAAAGAGCTCCAAATGTCCAACTGCAGATTTTTTAAGAAGAATGTTTCAAAACTGCACTATCAAAAGAAAGGTTCAGCTCTGTGAGTTGAATGCACACATCTCAAAGAAGTTTCTGAGAATGGTTCTGTCTAGTTTTTATGTGAAGGTATTCGCGATTCCAATGAAGTCTTCAAAGCGCTCCAAATATCTAAATGCGGATTCTACAAAAAGAGTGATTCAAAACTGGTCTATGAAAAGGAAGGTTCAGCTCTGTGAGTTGAACGCACACATCACAAAAAGTTTCGGACAATGCTTCCATTTAGTTTTTAGGTGAAGATATTACCTTTTCAACCACAGCCTTCGAAACGCTCCAAATGTCCACTTGCAGATTCTACAAGAAGATTGTTTCCAGGCGGCTCTATCAAAAGAAATGTTCAACTATGGGAGTAGAATACACACATCACAAAGTCGTTTCTGAGAATGCTTCTGTCTAGTTTTTATGTGAAGATATTTCCTTTTCTACCAGAGGCCTGAAAGCGCTCCAAATATCCAATTGCAGATTCTACAGAAAGAGTGTTTCAAAACTTCTCTATCAAAAGTAAGGGTCTGCTTTGTGAGTTGAATGTACACATCAAAATGAAGTTTCTGATTATACTTCTGTCTACTTCTTATGGGAAGATATTTCCTTATCCACAATGGTCCTCAAAGCCCTCGAAATGCCCACTTGAAGATTCTTCGGAAAGACTGTTTCAAAACTGCTCTATCAAAAGAAAGTTTCAACTTTGTGTGTAGAATGCACACATCACAAAGTCGTTTCTGAGAATGCTTCTGTCTAGTTTTTATATGAAGATATTTCCTTTTCTACCATAAGCCTCAAAGCACTGCACATATGAACTGGCAGATCCTTTAAAAAGAGTGTTTCAAAACTGCTCTATCAAAACTGTTCTATCAACTCTGTGAGATGAATGGACACATCACAAAGATGTTTCTGAGAATGCTTCTGTCTAGGTTTTAGGTGAAGATATTCTCGTTTCCAAAGAATGCTTCAAAGAGTACTTAAATATCCGCCTGCAGATTCTACAAAAGGAGTGTTTCAAAACTGCTCTAACAAAAGAAAGGTTCAACCTGGGAGTTGAATGCACACATCACAAAGAAGTTTCTGAGAATGCTTCTGTCTAGTTTTAATGCGAAGATATTCCCTTTTCCATCATAACCTTCAAAGCGCTCCAAATGTCCATTTGCAGATTTTAGAAACAGAGTGTTTCCAGACTGCTCTATCAAAAGAAATTTTCAACTATGGGAGTAGAATGCACACAACACAAATTCGTTTCTGAGAATGCTTCTGTCTAGTTTTTATGTGAAGATATTTCCTTTTCTACCACAGGCATAAATGTGCTCCAAATATCCACTTGCAGATTCTGAAAAAAGAGTGTTTCAAAACTGCTGTATCAAAAGGAAGGTTCAATTCTGTGAGTTGAATGCACACATCACAAAGTAGTTTCTGAGAATGCTTCTGCCTAATTTTTAGATTTAAGATATTCCAATTTCCAAAGAAGGCTTCAATTTGCTCCAAATATCCACTTGCAGATTGTACAAAAAGAGGGTTTCAAAACTGCTCTATCAAAAGGAAGGTTCAACTCTGTGAGATGAATGCACACATCACAAAGTGGTTTCAGAGAATGCTTCTTTCTAGTTTTTAGGTGACGATATTCCCGTTTCCAATGTAGCACTCAAAGAGCTCCAAATATCCTCCTGCAGATTGTGCAAAAAGGGTGTTTCAAAACTGCTCTATCAAAAAGAAGCTTCAACTCTGTGAGTTGAATGCACAAATCACAAAGAAGTTTCTGGGAATACTTCTGTCTATTTTTATGTGACGATAGTCCCGTTTCCAAAGAAGGCTTCAAAGCACTCCAAATATCCACCTGCAGATTATAAAGGAAGAGTTTTTCAAAACTGCTCAATCCAAAGGAAGGTTCAGCTCCGTGAGTTCAATGCCCACATCACAAAGAAGTTTCTGAGAATGCTTCTGTCTAGTTTCAAGGGGAAGATATTCCCGTTTCCAACGAAGGCTTCAAAGCGCTCCAAATATCCACTTGCAGAGTCTACAAAAAGACTGTTTCAAAACTGCTCTATAAAAGTAAGGTTGTACTTTGTTAGTGGAATGCACCCATCAAAATGAAGTTTCTGAGAACACTTCTGTCTACTTTTCATGTGAAGATATTTCCTTATCCACAATAGTCCCCAAAGCCCTCAAAATGCCCACTTGAAGATCCCTCAAAAAGACTGTTTCAAAACTGCAGTATCAGAAGGAAATTTCAACTATGTGAGTAGAATGCACACATCACAAAGTAGTTTCTGAGAATGCTTCTGTCTAGTTTTTATATGAAGATATTTCCTTTTCGACCTTAAGCCTCAAAGTGCTGCAATTATGCACTTTCAGATTCTTCAAAAAGAGGGTTTCAAAACTGCTCTGGCAAAAGGAAGTTTCAACGCTGTGAGTTGAATGCACACATCACAAAGAAGTTTCTGAGAATGCTTCTGTCTAATTTTTATGTGAAGATAATCCTGTTTCCCAAGAAGGCTTCAAAGCACCCTAATATCCGTCTCCAGATTCTACAGAAAGAGTGTTTCAAAACTGCTCTATGGAAAGGAAGGTTCAACTCTGTGAGTTGAATGCAGACATCATAAAGGAGTTTCTGAGAATGCTTCTGTCTTGTTTTAATGTGAAGATATTTCCTTTTCAACCGATAGCCTAAAAGAGCTCCAAATGTCCAACTGCAGATTTTTTAAAAAGAATGTTTCAAAACTGCACTATCAAAAGAAAGGTTCAGCTCTGTGAGTTGAATGCACACATCTCAAAGAAGTTTCTGAGAATGGTTCTGTCTAGTTTTTATGTGAAGGTATTCGCGATTCCAATGAAGTCTTCAAAGCGCTCCAAATATCTAAATGCGGATTCTACAAAAAGAGTGATTCAAAACTGGTCTATGAAAAGGAAGGTTCAGCTCTGTGAGTTGAACGCACACATCACAAAAAGTTTCGGACAATGCTTCCATTTAGTTTTTAGGTGAAGATATTACCTTTTCAACAACAGCCTTCGAAACGCTCCAAATGTCCACTTGCAGATTCTACAAGAAGATTGTTTCCAGGCGGCTCTATCAAAAGAAATGTTCAACTATGGGAGTAGAATACACACATCACAAAGTCGTTTCTGAGAATGCTTCTGTCTAGTTTTTATGTGAAGATATTTCCTTTTCTACCAGAGGCCTGAAAGCGCTCCAAATATCCAATTGCAGATTCTACAAAAAGACTGTTTCAAAACTTCTCTATCAAAAGTAAGGGTCTGCTTTGTGAGTTGAATGTACACATCAAAATGAAGTTTCTGATTATACTTCTGTCTACTTCTTATGGGAAGATATTTCCTTATCCGCAATGGTCCTCAAAGCCCTCGAAATGCCCACTTGAAGATTCTTCGGAAAGACTGTTTCAAAACTGCTCTATCAAAAGAAAGTTTCAACTTTGTGTGTAGAATGCACACATCACAAAGTCGTTTCTGAGAATGCTTCTGTCTAGTTTTTATATGAAGATATTTCCTTTTCTACCATAAGCCCCAAAGCACTGCACATATGAACTGGCAGATTCTTTAAAAAGAGTGTTTCAAAACTGCTCTATCAAAACTGTTCTATCAACTCTGTGAGATGAATGGACACATCACAAAGATCTTTCTGAGAATGCTTCTGTCTAGGTTTTAGGTGAAGATATTCTCGTTTCCAAAGAATGCTTCAAAGAGTACTTAAATATCCGCCTGCAGATTCTACAAAAGGAGTGTTTCAAAACTGCTCTAACAAAAGAAAGGTTCAACCTGGGAGTTGAATGCACACATCACAAAGAAGTTTCTGAGAATGCTTCTGTCTAGTTTTAATGCGAAGATATTCCCTTTTCCATCATAACCTTCAAAGCGCTCCAAATGTCCATTTGCAGATTTTAGAAACAGAGTGTTTCCAGACTGCTCTATCAAAAGAAATTTTCAACTATGGGAGTAGAATGCACACAACACAAATTCGTTTCTGAGAATGCTTCTGTCTAGTTTTTATGTGAAGATATTTCCTTTTCTACCACAGGCATAAATGTGCTCCAAATATCCACTTGCAGATTCTAAACAAAGAGTGTTTCAAAACTGCTGTATCAAAAGGAAGGTTCAATTCTGTGAGTTGAATGCACACATCACAAAGTAGTTTCTGAGAATGCTTCTGCCTAATTTTTAGATTTAAGATATTCCCATTTCCAAAGAAGGCTTCAATTTGCTCCAAATATCCACTTGCAGATTGTACAAAAAGAGGGTTTCAAAACTGCTCTATCAAAAGGAAGGTTCAACTCTGTGAGATGAATGCACACATCACAAAGTGGTTTCAGAGAATGCTTCTTTCTAGTTTTCAGGTGACGATATTCCCGTTTCCAATGTAGCACTCAAAGAGCTCCAAATATCCTCCTGCAGATTGTGCAAAAAGGGTGTTTCAAAACTGCTCTATCAAAAAGAAGCTTCAACTCTGTGAGTTGAATGCACAAATCACAAAGAAGTTTCTGGGAATACTTCTGTCTATTTTTATGTGACGATACTCCCGTTTCCAAAGAAGGCTTCAAAGCACTCCAAATATCCACCTGCAGATTATAAAGGAAGAGTTTTTCAAAACTGCTCAATCCAAAGGAAGGTTCCGCTCCGTGAGTTCAATGCCCACATCACAAAGAAGTTTCTGAGAATGCTTCTGTCTGGTTTCAAGGGGAAGATATTCCCGTTTCCAACGAAGGCTTCAAAGCGCTCCAACTATCCACTTGCAGACTCTACAAAAAGACTGTTTCAAAACTGCTCTATAAAAGTAAGGTTGTACTTTGTTAGTGGAATGCACCCATCAAAATGAAGTTTCTGAGAACACTTCTGTCTACTTTTCATGTGAAGATATTTCCTTATCCACAACAGTCCCCAAAGCCCTCAAAATGCCCGCTTGAAGATCCCTCAAAAAGACTGTTTCAAAACTGCAGTGTCAGAAGGAAATTTCAACTATGTGAGTAGAATGCACACATCACAAAGTAGTTTCTGAGAATGCTTCTGTCTAGTTTTTATATGAAGATATTTCCTCTTCGACCTTAAGCCTCAAAGTGCTGCAATTATGCACTTTCAGATTCTTCAAAAAGAGGGTTTCAAAACTGCTCTGGCAAAAGGAAGTTTCAACGCTGTGAGTTGAATGCACACATCACAAAGAAGTTTCTGAGAATGCTTCTGTCTAATTTTTATGTGAAGATAATCCTGTTTCCCAAGAAGGCTTCAAAGCACCCTAATATCCGCCTCCAGATTCTACAGAAAGAGTGTTTCAAAACTGCTCTATGGAAAGAAAGGTTCAACTCTGTGAGTTGAATGCAGACATCATAAAGGAGTTTCTGAGAATGCTTCTGTCTTGTTTTAATGTGAAGATATTTCCTTTTCAACTGATAGCCTAAAAGAGCTCCAAATGTCCAACTGAAGATTTTTTAAAAAGAATGTTTCAAAACTGCACTATCAAAAGAAAGGTTCAGCTCTGTGAGTTGAATGCACACATCTCAAAGAAGTTTCTGAGAATGGTTCTGTCTAGTTTTTATGTGAAGGTATTCGCGATTCCAATGAAGTCTTCAAAGCGCTCCAAATATCTAAATGCGTATTCTACAAAAAGAGTGATTCAAAACTGGTCTATGAAAAGGAAGGTTCAGCTCTGTGAGTTGAACGCACACATCACAAAACGTTTCGGACAATGCTTCCATTTAGTTTTTAGGTGAAGATATTACCTTTTCAACCACAGCCTTCGAAACGCTCCAAATGTCCACTTGCAGATTCTACAAGAAGATTGTTTCCAGGCGGCTCTATCAAAAGAAATGTTCCACTATGGGAGTAGAACGCACACATCACAAAAAGTTTCGGACAATGCTTCCATTTAGTTTTTAGGTGAAGATATTAGCTTTTCAACCACAGCCTTCGAAACGCTCCAAATGTCCACTTGCAGATTCTACAAGAAGATTGTTTCCAGGCGGCTCTATCAAAAGAAATGTTCAACTATGGGAGTAGAATACACACATCACAAAGTCGTTTCTGAGAATGCTTCTGTCTAGTTTTTATGTGAAGATATTTCCTTTTCTACCAGAGGCCTGAAAGCGCTCCAAACATCCAATTGCAGATTCTACAAAAAGAGTGTTTCAAAACTTCTCTATCAAAAGTAAGGGTCTGCTTTGTGAGTTGAATGTACACATCAAAATGAAGTTTCTGATTATACTTCTGTCTACTTCTTATGGGAAGATATTTCCTTATCCGCAATGGTCCTCAAAGCCCTCGAAATGCCCACTTGAAGATTCTTCGGAAAGACGGTTTCAAAACTGCTCTATCAAAAGAAAGTTTCAACTTTGTGTGTACAATGCACGCATCACAAAGTCGTTTCTGAGAATGCTTCTGTCTAGTTTTTATAGGAAGATATTTCCTTTTCTACCATAAGCCTCAAAGCACTGCACATATGAACTGGCAGATTCTTTAAAAAGAGTGTTTCAAATCTGCTCTATCAAAACTGTTCTATCAACTCTGTGAGATGAATGGACACATCACAAAGATGTTTCTGAGAATGCTTCTGTCTAGGTTTTAGGTGAAGATATTCTCGTTTCCAAAGAATGCTTCAAAGAGTACTTAAATATCCGCCTGCAGATTCTACAAAAGGAGTGTTTCAAAACTGCTCTAACAAAAGAAAGGTTCAACCTGGGAGTTGAATGCACACATCACAAAGAAGTTTCTGAGAATGCTTCTGTCTAGTATTAATGCGAAGATATTCCCTTTTCCATCATAACCTTCAAAGCGCTCCAAATGTCCATTTGCAGATTTTAGAAACAGAGTGGTTCAAGACTGCTCTATCAAAAGAAATTTTCAACTATGGGAGTAGAATGCACACAACACAAATTCGTTTCTGAGAATGCTTCTGTCTAGTTTTTATGTGAAGATATTTCCTTTTCTACCACAGGCATAAATGTGCTCCAAATATCCACTTGCAGATTCTAAACAAAGAGTGTTTCAAAACTGCTGTATCAAAAGGAAGGTTCAATTCTGTGAGTTGAATGCACACATCACAAAGTAGTTTCTGAGAATGCTTCTGCCTAATTTTTAGATTTAAGATATTCCCATTTCCAAAGAAGGCTTCAATTTGCTCCAAATATCCACTTGCAGATTGTACAAAAAGAGGGTTTCAAAACTGCTCTATCAAAAGGAAGGTTCAACTCTGTGAGATGAATGCACACATCACAAAGTGGTTTCAGAGAATGCTTCTTTCTAGTTTTCAGGTGACGATATTCCCGTTTCCAATGTAGCACTCAAAGAGCTCCAAATATCCTCCTGCAGATTGTGCAAAAAGGGTGTTTCAAAACTGCTCTATCAAAAAGAAGCTTCAACTCTGTGAGTTGAATGCACAAATCACAAAGAAGTTTCTGGGAATACTTCTGTCTATTTTTATGTGACGATACTCCCGTTTCCAAAGAAGGCTTCAAAGCACTCCAAATATCCACCTGCAGATTATAAAGGAAGAGTTTTTCCAAACTGCTCAATCCAAAGGAAGGTTCAGCTCCGTGAGTTCAATGCCCACATCACAAAGAAGTTTCTGAGAATGCTTCTGTGTGGTTTCAAGGGGAAGATATTCCCGTTTCCAACGAAGGCTTCAAAGCGCTCCAAATATCCGCTTGCAGAGTCTACAAAAAGACTGTTTCAAAACTGCTCTATAAAAGTAAGGTTGTACTTTGTTAGTTGAAAGCACCCATCAAAATGAAGTTTCTGAGAACACTTCTGTCTACTTTTCATGTGAAGATATTTCCTTATCCACAATAGTCCCCAAAGCCCTCAAAATGCCCACTTGAAGATCCCTCAAAAAGACTGTTTCAAAACTGCAGTATCAGAAGCAAATTTCAACTATATGAGCAGAATGCACACATCACAAAGTAGTTTCTGAGAATGCTTCTGTCTAGTTTTTATATGAAGATATTTCCTTTTCGACCTTAAGCCTCAAAGTGCTGCAATTATGCACTTTCAGATTCTTCAAAAAGAGGGTTTCAAAACTGCTCTGGCAAAAGGAAGTTTCAACGCTGTGAGTTGAATGCACACATCACAAAGAAGTTTCTGAGAATGCTTCTGTCTAATTTTTATGTGAAGATAATCCTGTTTCCCAAGAAGGCTTCAAAGCACCCTAATATCCGTCTCCAGATTCTACAGAAAGAGTGTTTCAAAACTGCTCTATGGAAAGGAAGGTTCAACTCTGTGAGTTGAATGCAGACATCATAAAGGAGTTTCTGAGAATGCTTCTGTCTTGTTTTAATGTGAAGATATTTCCTTTTCAACCGATAGCCTAAAAGAGCTCCAAATGTCCAACTGCAGATTTTTTAAAAAGAATGTTTCAAAACTGCACTATCAAAAGAAAGGTTCAGCTCTGTGAGTTGAATGCACACATCTCAAAGAAGTTTCTGAGAATGGTTCTGTCTAGTTTTTATGTGAAGGTATTCGCGATTCCAATGAAGTCTTCAAAGCGCTCCAAATATCTAAATGCGGATTCTACAAAAAGAGTGATTCAAAACTGGTCTATGAAAAGGAAGGTTCAGCTCTGTGAGTTGAACGCACACATCACAAAAAGTTTCGGACAATGCTTCCATTTAGTTTTTAGGTGAAGATATTACCTTTTCAACAACAGCCTTCGAAACGCTCCAAATGTCCACTTGCAGATTCTACAAGAAGATTGTTTCCAGGCGGCTCTATCAAAAGAAATGTTCAACTATGGGAGTAGAATACACACATCACAAAGTCGTTTCTGAGAATGCTTCTGTCTAGTTTTTATATGAAGATATTTCCTTTTCTACCATAAGCCTCAAAGCACTGCACATATGAACTGGCAGATCCTTTAAAAAGAGTGTTTCAAAACTGCTCTATCAAAACTGTTCTATCAACTCTGTGAGATGAATGGACACATCACAAAGATGTTTCTGAGAATGCTTCTGTCTAGGTTTTAGGTGAAGATATTCTCGTTTCCAAAGAATGCTTCAAAGAGTACTTAAATATCCGCCTGCAGATTCTACAAAAGGAGTGTTTCGAAACTGCTCTAACAAAAGAAAGGTTCAACCTGGGAGTTGAATGCACACATCACAAAGAAGTTTCTGAGAGTGCTTCTGTCTAGTTTTAATGCGAAGATATTCCCTTTTCCATCATAACCTTCAAAGCGCTCCAAATGTCCATTTGCAGATTTTAGAAACAGAGTGGTTCCAGACTGCTCTATCAAAAGAAATTTTCAACTATGGGAGTAGAATGCACACAACACAAATTCGTTTCTGAGAATGCTTCTGTCTAGTTTTTATGTGAAGATATTTCCTTTTCTACCACAGGCATAAATGTGCTCCAAATATCCACTTGCAGATTCTGAAAAAAGAGTGTTTCAAAACTGCTGTATCAAAAGGAAGGTTCAATTCTGTGAGTTGAATGCACACATCACAAAGCAGTTTCTGAGAATGCTTCTGCCTAATTTTTAGTTTTAAGATATTCTAATTTCCAAAGAAGACTTCAATTTGCTCCAAATATCCACTTGCAGATTGTACAAAAAGAGGGTTTCAAAACTGCTCTATCAACAGGAAGGTTCAACTCTGTGAGATGAATGCACACATCACAAAGTGGTTTCCGAGAATGCTTCTTTCTAGTTTTTAGGTGACGATATTCCCGTTTCCAATGTAGCACTCAAAGAGCTCCAAATATCCTCCTGCAGATTGTGCAAAAAGGGTGTTTCAAAACTGCTCTATCAAAAAGAAGCTTCAACTCTGTGAGTTGAATGCACAAATCACAATGAAGTTTCTGGGAATACTTCTGTCTATTTTTATGTGACGATAGTCCCGTTTCCAAAGAAGGCTTCAAAGCACTCCAAATATCCACCTGCAGATTATAAAGGAAGAGTTTTTCAAAACTGCTCAATCCAAAGGAAGGTTCAGCTCCGTGAGTTCAATGCCCACATCACAAAGAAGTTTCTGAGAATGCTTCTGTCTAGTTTCAAGGGGAAGATATTCCCGTTTCCAACGAAGGCTTCAAAGCGCTCCAAATATCCACTTGCAGAGTCTACAAAAAAACTGTTTCAAAACTGCTCTATAAAAGTAAGGTTGTACTTTGTTAGTGGAATGCACCCATCAAAATGAAGTTTCTGAGAACACTTCTGTCTACTTTTCATGTGAAGATATTTCCTTATCCACAATAGTCCCCAAAGCCCTCAAAATGCCCACTTGAAGATCCCTCAAAAAGACTGTTTCAAAACTGCAGTATCAGAAGGAAATTTCAACTATGTGAGTAGAATGCACACATCACAAAGTAGTTTCTGAGAATGCTTCTGTCTAGTTTTTATATGAAGATATTTCCTTTTCGACCTTAAGCGTCAAAGTGCTGCAATTATGCACTTTCAGATTCTTCAAAAAGAGGGTTTCAAAACTGCTCTGGCAAAAGGAAGTTTCAACGCTGTGAGTTGAATGCACACATCACAAAGAAGTTTCTGAGAATGCTTCTGTCTAATTTTTATGTGAAGATAATCCTGTTTCCCAAGAAGGCTTCAAAGCACCCTAATATCCGCCTCCAGATTCTACAGAAAGAGTGTTTCAAAACTGCTCTATGAAAAGGAAGGTTCAACTCTGTGAGATGAATGCAGACATCATAAAGGAGTTTCTGAGAATGCTTCTGTCTTGTTTTAATGTGAAGATATTTCCTTTTCAACCGATAGCCTAAAAGAGCTCCAAATGTCCAACTGCAGATTTTTTAAAAAGAATGTTTCAAAACTGCACTATCAAAAGAAAGGTTCAGCTCTGTGAGTTGAATGCACACATCTCAAAGAAGTTTCTGAGAATGGTTCTGTCTAGTTTTTATGTGAAGGTATTTGCGATTCCAATGAAGTCTTCAAAGCGCTCCAAATATCTAAATGCGGATTCTACAAAAAGAGTGATTCAAAACTGGTCTATGAAAAGGAAGGTTCAGCTCTGTGAGTTGAACGCACACATCACAAAAAGTTTCGGACAATGCTTCCATTTAGTTTTCAGGTGAAGATATTACCTTTTCAACCACAGCCTTCGAAACGCTCCAAATGTCCACTTGCAGATTCTACAAGAAGATTGTTTCCAGGCGGCTCTTTCAAAAGAAATGTTCAACTATGGGAGTAGAATACACACATCACAAAGTCGTTTCTGAGAATGCTTCTGTCTAGTTTTTATGTGAAGATATTTCCTTTTCTACCAGAGGCCTGAAAGCGCTCCAAACATCCAATTGCAGATTCTACAAAAAGAGTGTTTCAAAACTTCTCTATCAAAAGTTAGGGTCTGCTTTGTGAGTTGAATGTACACATCAAAATGAAGTTTCTGATTATACTTCTGTCTACTTCTTATGGGAAGATATTTCCTTATCCGCAATGGTCCTCAAAGCCCTCGAAGTGCCCACTTGAAGATTCTTCGGAAAGACTGTTTCAAAACTGCTCTATCAAAAGAAAGTTTCAACTTTGTGTGTAGAATGCACACATCACAAAGTCGTTTCTGAGAATGCTTCTGTCTAGTTTTTATATGAAGATATTTCCTTTTCTACCATAAGCCTCAAAGCACTGCACATTTGAACTGACAGATTCTTTAAAAAGAGTGTTTCAAAACTGCTCTATCAAAACTGTTCTATCAACTCTGTGAGATGAATGGACACATCACAAAGATGTTTCTGAGAATGCTTCTGTCTAGGTTTTAGGTGAAGATATTCTCGTTTCCAAAGAATGCTTCAAAGAGTACTTAAATATCCGCCTGCAGATTCTACAAAAGGAGTGTTTCAAAACTGCTCTAACAAAAGAAAGGTTCAACCTGGGAGTTGAATGCACACATCACAAAGAAGTTTCTGAGAATGCTTCTGTCTAGTTTTAATGCGAAGATATTTCCTTTTCCATCATAACCTTCAAAGCGCTCCAAATGTCCATTTGCAGATTTTAGAAACAGAGTGTTTCCAGACTGCTCTATCAAAAGAAATTTTCAACTACGGGAGTAGAATGCACACAACACAAATTCGTTTCTGAGAATGCTTCTGTCAATTTTTTATGTGAAGATATTTCCTTTTCTACCACAGGCATAAATGTGCTCCAAATATCCACTTGCAGATTCTAAAAAAAGAGTGTTTCAAAACTGCTGTATCAAAAGGAAGGTTCAATTCTGTGAGTTGAATGCACACATCACAAAGTAGTTTCTGAGAATGCTTCTGCCTAATTTTTAGATTTAGGATATTCCCATTTCCAAAGAAGGCTTCAATTTGCTCCAAATATCCACTTGCAGATTGTACAAAAAGAGGGTTTCAAAACTGCTCTATCAAAAGGAAGGTTCAACTCTGTGAGATGAATGCACACATCACAAAGTGGTTTCAGAGAATGCTTCTTTCTAGTTTTCAGGTGACGATATTCCCGTTTCCAATGTAGCACTCAAAGAGCTCCAAATATCCTCCTGCAGATTGTGCAAAAAGGGTGTTTCAAAACTGCTCTATCAAAAAGAAGCTTCAACTCTGTGAGTTGAATGCACAAATCACAAAGAAGTTTCTGGGAATACTTCTGTCTATTTTTATGTGACGATAGTCCCGTTTCCCAAGAAGGCTTCAAAGCACTCCAAATATCCACCTGCAGATTATAAAGGAAGAGTTTTTCAAAACTGCTCAATCCAAAGGAAGGTTCAGCTCCGTGAGTTCAATGCCCACATCACAAAGAAGTTTCTGAGAATGCTTCTGTGTGGTTTCAAGGGGAAGATATTCCCGTTTCCAACGAAGGCTTCAAAGCGCTCCAAATATCCACTTGCAGAGTCTACAAAAAGACTGTTTCAAAACTGCTCTATAAAAGTAAGGTTTTACTTTGTTAGTGGAATGCACCCATCAAAATTAAGTTTCTGAGAACACTTCTGTCTACTTTTCATGTGAAGATATTTCCTTATCCACAATAGTCCCCAAAGCCCTCAAAATGCCCACTTGAAGATCCCTCAAAAAGACTGTTTCAAAACTGCAGTATCAGAAGGAAATTTCAACTATGTGAGTAGAATGCACACATCACAAAGTAGTTTCTGAGAATGCTTCTGTCTAGTTTTTATATGAAGATATTTCCTTTTCGACCTTAAGCCTCAAAGTGCTGCAATTATGCACTTTCAGATTCTTCAAAAAGAGGGTTTCAAAACTGCTCTGGCAAAAGGAAGTTTCAACGCTGTGAGTTGAATGCACACATCACAAAGAAGTTTCTGAGAATGCTTCTGTCTAATTTTTATGTGAAGTTAATCCTGTTTCCCAAGAAGGCTTCAAAGCACCCTAATATCCGCCTCCAGATTCTACAGAAAGAGTGTTTCAAAACTGCTCTATGGAAAGGAAGGTTCAACTCTGTGAGTTGAATGCAGACATCATAAAGGAGTTTCTGAGAATGCTTCTGTCTTGTTTTAATGTGAAGATATTTCCTTTTCAACCGATAGCCTAAAAGAGCTCCAAATGTCCAACTGCAGATTTTTTAAAAAGAATGTTTCAAAACTGCACTATCAAAAGAAAGGTTCAGCTCTGTGAGTTGAATGCACACATCTCAAAGAAGTTTCTGAGAATGGTTCTGTCTAGTTTTTATGTGAAGGTATTCGCGATTACAATGAAGTCTTCAAAGCGCTCCAAATATCTAAATGCGGATCCTACAAAAAGAGTGATTCAAAACTGGTCTATGAAAAGGAAGGTTCAGCTCTGTGAGTTGAACGCACACATCACAAAAAGTTTCCGACAATGCTTCCATTTAGTTTTTAGGTGAAGATATTACCTTTTCAACCACAGCCTTCGAAACGCTCCAAATGTCCACTTGCAGATTCTACAAGAAGATTGTTTCCAGGCGGCTCTATCAAAAGAAATGTTCAACTATGGGAGTAGAATACACACATCACAAAGTCGTTTCTGAGAATGCTTCTGTCTAGTTTTTATGTGAAGATATTTCCTTTTCTACCAGAGGCCTGAAAGCGCTCCAAATATCCAATTGCAGATTCTACAAAAAGAGTGTTTCAAAACTTCTCTATCAAAAGTAAGGGTCTGCTTTGTGAGTTGAATGTACACATCAAAATGAAGTTTCTGATTATACTTCTGTCTACTTCTTATGGGAAGATATTTCCTTATCCGCAATGGTCCTCAAAGCCCTCGAAATGCCCACTTGAAGATTCTTCGGAAAGACTGTTTCAAAACTGCTCTATCAAAAGAAAGTTTCAACTTTGTGTGTAGAATGCACACATCACAAAGTCGTTTCTGAGAATGCTTCTGTCTAGTTTTTATATGAAGATATTTCCTTTTCTACCATAAGCCTCAAAGCACTGCACATATGAACTGGCAGATCCTTTAAAAAGAGTGTTTCAAAACTGCTCTATCAAAACTGTTCTATCAACTCTGTGAGATGAATGGACACATCACAAAGATGTTTCTGAGAATGCTTCTGTCTAGGTTTTAGGTGAAGATATTCTCGTTTCCAAAGAATGCTTCAAAGAGTACTTAAATATCCGCCTGCAGATTCTATAAAAGGAGTGTTTCAAAACTGTTCTAACAAAAGAAAGGTTCAACCTGGGAGTTGAATGCACACATCACAAAGAAGTTTCTGAGAATGCTTCTGTCTAGTTTTAATGCGAAGATATTCCCTTTTCCATCATAACCTTCAAAGCGCTCCAAATGTCCATTTGCAGATTTTAGAAACAGAGTGGTTCCAGACTGCTCTATCAAAAGAAATTTTCAACTATGGGAGTAGAATGCACACAACACAAATTCGTTTCTGAGAATGCTTCTGTCTAGTTTTTATGTGAAGATATTTCCTTTTCTACCACAGGCATAAATGTGCTCCAAATATCCACTTGCAGATTCTGAAAAAAGAGTGTTTCAAAACTGCTGTATCAAAAGGAAGGTTCAATTCTGTGAGTTGAATGCACACATCACAAAGTAGTTTCTGAGAATGCTTCTGCCTAATTTTTAGATTTAAGATATTCTAATTTCCAAAGAAGGCTTCAATTTGCTCCAAATATCCACTCGCAGATTGTACAAAAAGAGGGTTTCAAAACTGCTCTATCAAAAGGAAGGTTCAACTCTGTGAGATGAATGCACACATCACAAAGTGGTTTCAGAGAATGCTTCTTTCTAGTTTTTAGGTGACGATATTCCCGTTTCCAATGTAGCACTCAAAGAGCTCCAAATATCCTCCTGCAGATTGTGCAAAAAGGGTGTTTCAAAACTGCTCTATCAAAAAGAAGCTTCAACTCTGTCAGTTGAATGCACAAATCACAAAGAAGTTTCTGGGAATACTTCTGTCTATTTTTATGTGACGATACTCCCGTTTCCAAAGAAGGCTTCAAAGCACTCCAAATATCCACCTGCAGATTATAAAGGAAGAGTTTTTCAAAACTGCTCAATCCAAAGGAAGTTTCAGCTCCGTGAGTTCAATGCCCACATCACAAAGAAGTTTCTGAGAATGCTTCTGTCTAGTTTCAAGGGGAAGATATTCCCGTTTCCAACGAAGGCTTCAAAGCGCTCCAAATATCCACTTGCAGAGTCTACAAAAAGACTGTTTCAAAACTGCTCTATAAAAGTAAGGTTGTACTTTGTTAGTGGAATGCACCCATCAAAATGAAGTTTCTGAGAACACTTCTGTCTACTTTTCATGTGAAGATATTTCCTTATCCACAATAGTCCCCAAAGCCCTCAAAATGCCCACTTGAAGATCACTCAAAAAGACTGTTTCAAAACTGCAGTATCAGAAGGAAATTTCAACTATGTGAGTAGAATGCACACATCACAAAGTAGTTTCTGAGAATGCTTCTGTCTAGTTTTTATATGAAGATATTTCCTTTTCGACCTTAAGCCTCAAAGTGCTGCAATTATGCACTTTCAGATTCTTCAAAAAGAGGGTTTCAAAACTGCTCTGGCAAAAGGAAGTTTCAACGCTGTGAGTTGAATGCACACATCACAAAGAAGTTTCTGAGAATGCTTCTGTCTAATTTTTATGTGAAGATAATCCTGTTTCCCAAGAAGGCTTCAAAGCACCCTAATATCCGCCTCCAGATTCTACAGAAAGAGTGTTTCAAAACTGCTCTATCAAAAGGAAGGTTCAACTCTGTGAGTTGAATGCAGACATCATAAAGGAGTTTCTGAGAATGCTTCTGTCTTGTTTTAATGTGAAGATATTTCCTTTTCAACCGATAGCCTAAAAGAGCTCCAAATGTCCAACTGCAGATTTTTTAAAAAGAATGTTTCAACACTGCACTATCAAAAGAAAGGTTCAGCTCTGTGAGTTGAATGCACACATCTCAAAGAAGTTTCTGAGAATGGTTCTGTCTAGTTTTTATGTGAAGGTATTCGCGATTCCAATGAAGTCTTCAAAGCGCTCCAAATATCTAAATGCGGATTCTACAAAAAGAGTGATTCAAAACTGGTCTATGAAAAGGAAGGTTCAGCTCTGTGAGTTGAACACACACATCACAAAAAGTTTCCGACAATGCTTCCATTTAGTTTTTAGGTGAAGATATTACCTTTTCAACCACAGCCTTCGAAACGCTCCAAATGTCCACTTGCAGATTGTACAAGAAGATTGTTTCCAGGCGGCTCTATCAAAAGAAATGTTCAACTATGGGAGTAGAATACACACATCACAAAGTCGTTTCTGAGAATGCTTCTGTCTAGTTTTTATGTGAAGATATTTCCTTTTCTACCAGAGGCCTGAAAGCGCTCCAAATATCCAATTGCAGATTCTACAAAAAGAGTGTTTCAAAACTTCTCTATCAAAAGTAAGGGTCTGCTTTGTGAGTTGAATGTACACATCAAAATGAAGTTTCTGATTATACTTCTGTCTACTTCTTATGGGAAGATATTTCCTTATCCGCAATGGTCCTCAAAGCCCTCGAAATGCCCACTTGAATATTCTTCGGAAAGACGGTTTCAAAACTGCTCTATCAAAAGAAAGTTTCAACTTTGTGTGTAGAATGCACACATCACAAAGTCGTTTCTGAGAATGCTTCTGTCTAGTTTTTATAGGAAGATATTTCCTTTTCTACCATAAGCCTCAAAGCACTGCACATATGAACTGGCAGATTCTTTAAAAAGAGTGTTTCAAAACTGCTCTATCAAAACTGTTCTATCAACTCTGTGAGATGAATGGACACATCACAAAGATGTTTCTGAGAATGCTTCTGTCTAGGTTTTAGGTGAAGATATTCTCGTTTCCAAAGAATGCTTCAAAGAGTACTTAAATATCCGCCTGCAGATTCTACAAAAGGAGTGTTTCAAAACTGCTCTAACAAAAGAAAGGTTCAACCTGGGAGTTGAATGCACACATCACAAAGAAGTTTCTGAGAATGCTTCTGTCTAGTTTTAATGCGAAGATATTCCCTTTTCCATCATAACCTTCAAAGCGCTCCAAATGTCCATTTGCAGATTTTAGAAACAGAGTGGTTCCAGACTGCTCTATCAAAAGAAATTTTCAACTATGGGAGTAGAATGCACACAACACAAATTCGTTTCTGAGAATGCTTCTGTCTAGTTTTTATGTGAAGATATTTCCTTTTCTACCACAGGCATAAATGTGCTCCAAATATCCACTTGCAGATTCTGAAAAAAGAGTGTTTCAAAACTGCTGTATCAAAAGGAAGGTTCAATTCTGTGAGTTGAATGCACACATCACAAAGTAGTTTCTGAGAATGCTTCTGCCTAATTTTTAGATTTAAGATATTCCCATTTCCAAAGAAGGCTTCAATTTGCTCCAAATATCCACTTGCAGATTGTACAAAAAGAGGGTTTCAAAACTGCTCTATCAAAAGGAAGGTTCAACTCTGTGAGATGAATGCAAACATCACAAAGTGGTTTCAGAGAATGCTTCTTTCTAGTTTTTAGGTGACGATATTCCCGTTTCCAATGTAGCACTCAAAGAGCTCCAAATATCCTCCTGCAGATTGTGCAAAAAGGGTGTTTCAAAACTGCTCTATCAAAAAGAAGCTTCAACTCTGTGAGTTGAATGCACAAATCACAAAGAAGTTTCTGGGAATACTTCTGTCTATTTTTATGTGACGATACTCCCGTTTCCAAAGAAGGCTTCAAAGCACTCCAAATATCCACCTGCAGATTATAAAGGAAGAGTTTTTCAAAACTGCTCAATCCAAAGGAAGGTTCAGCTCCGTGAGTTCAATGCCCACATCACAAAGAAGTTTCTGAGAATGCTTCTGTCTAGTTTCAAGGGGAAGATATTCCCGTTTCCAACGAAGGCTTCAAAGCGCTCCAAATATCCACTTGCAGAGTCTACAAAAAGACTGTTTCACAACTGCTCTATAAAAGTAAGGTTGTACTTTGTTAGTGGAATGCACCCATCAAAATGAAGTTTCTGAGAACACTTCTGTCTACTTTTCATGTGAAGATATTTCCTTATCCACAATAGTCCCCAAAGCCCTCAAAATGCCCACTTGAAGATCCCTCAAAAAGACTGTTTCAAAACTGCAGCATCAGAAGGAAATTTCAACTATGTGAGTAGAATGCACACATCACAAAGTAGTTTCTGAGAATGCTTCTGTCTAGTTTTTATATGAAGATATTTCCTTTTCGACCTTAAGCCTCAAAGTGCTGCAATTATGCACTTTCAGATTCTTCAAAAAGAGGGTTTCAAAACTGCTCTGGCAAAAGGAAGTTTCAACGCTGTGAGTTGAATGCACACATCACAAAGAAGTTTCTGAGAATGCTTCTGTCTAATTTTTATGTGAAGATAATCCTGTTTCCCAAGAAGGCTTCAAAGCACCCTAATATCCGCCTCCAGATTCTACAGAAAGAGTGTTTCAAAACTGCTCTATCAAAAGGAAGGTTCAACTCTGTGAGTTGAATGCAGACATCATAAAGGAGTTTCTGAGAATGCTTCTGTCTTGTTTTAATGTGAAGATATTTCCTTTTCAACCGATAGCCTAAAAGAGCTCCAAATGTCCAACTGCAGATTTTTTAAGAAGAATGTTTCAAAACTGCACTATCAAAAGAAAGGTTCAGCTCTGTGAGTTGAATGCACACATCTCAAAGAAGTTTCTGAGAATGGTTCTGTCTAGTTTTTATGTGAAGGTATTCGCGATTCCAATGAAGTCTTCAAAGCGCTCCAAATATCTAAATGCGGATTCTACAAAAAGAGTGATTCAAAACTGGTCTATGAAAAGGAAGGTTCAGCTCTGTGAGTTGAACGCACACATCACAAAAAGTTTCGGAGAATGCTTCCATTTAGTTTTTAGGTGAAGATATTACCTTTTCAACCACAGCCTTCGAAACGCTCCAAATGTCCACTTGCAGATTCTACAAGAAGATTGTTTCCAGGCGGCTCTATCAAAAGAAATGTTCAACTATGGGAGTAGAATACACACATCACAAAGTCGTTTCTGAGAATGCTTCTGTCTAGTTTTTATGTGAAGATATTTCCTTTTCTACCAGAGGCCTGAAAGCGCTCCAAACGTCCAATTGCAGATTCTACAAAAAGAGTGTTTCAAAACTTCTCTATCAAAAGTAAGGGTCTGCTTTGTGAGTTGAATGTACACATCAAAATGAAGTTTCTGATTATACTTCTGTCTACTTCTTATGGGAAGATATTTCCTTATCCGCAATGGTCCTCAAAGCCCTCGAAATGCCCACTTGAAGATTCTTCGGAAAGACGGTTTCAAAACTGCTCTATCAAAAGAAAGTTTCAACTTTGTGTGTAGAATGCACACATCACAAAGTCGTTTCTGAGAATGCTTCTGTCTAGTTTTTATATGAAGATATTTCCTTTTCTACCATAAGCCTCAAAGCACTGCACATATGAACTGGCAGATTCTTTAAAAAGAGTGTTTCAAAACTGCTCTATCAAAACTGTTCTATCAACTCTGTGAGATGAATGGACACATCACAAAGATCTTTCTGAGAATGCTTCTGTCTAGGTTTTAGGTGAAGATATTCTCGTTTCCAAAGAATGCTTCAAAGAGTACTTAAATATCCGCCTGCAGATTCTACAAAAGGAGTGTTTCAAAACTGCTCTAATAAAAGAAAGGTTCAACCTGGGATTTGAATGCACACATCACAAAGAAGTTTCTGAGAATGCTTCTGTCTAGTTTTAATGCGAAGATATTCCCTTTTCCATCATAACGTTCAAAGCGCTCCAAATGTCCATTTGCAGGTTTTAGAAACAGAGTGGTTCCAGACTGCTCTATCAAAAGAAATTTTCAACTATGGGAGTAGAAGGCACACAACACTAATTCGTTTCTGAGAATGCTTCTGTCTAGTTTTTATGTGAAGATATTTCCTTTTCTACCACAGGCATAAATGTGCTCCAAATATCCACTTGCAGATTCTAAACAAAGAGTGTTTCAAAACTGCTGTATGAAAAGGAAGGTTCAATTCTGTGAGTTGAATGCACACATCACAAAGCAGTTTCTGAGAATGCTTCTGCCTAATTTTTAGTTTTAAGATATTCCCATTTCCAAAGAAGGCTTCAATTTGCTCCAAATATCCACTTGCAGATTGTACAAAAAGAGGGATTCAAAACTGCTCTATCAAAAGGAAGGTTCAACTCTGTGAGATGAATGCACACATCACAAAGTGGTTTCAGAGAATGCTTCTTTCTAGTTTTTAGGTGACGATATTCCCGTTTCCAATGTAGCACTCAAAGAGCTCCAAATATCCTCCTGCAGATTGTGCAAAAAGGGTGTTTCAAAACTGCTCTATCAAAAAGAAGCTTCAACTCTGTGAGTTGAATGCACAAATCACAAAGAAGTTTCTGGGAATACTTCTGTCTATATTTATGTGACGATACTCCCGTTTCCAAAGAAGGCTTCAAAGCACTCCAAATATCCACCTGCAGATTATAAAGGAAGAGTTTTTCAAAACTGCTCAATCCAAAGGAAGGTTCAGCTCCGTGAGTTCAATGCCCACATCACAAAGAAGTTTCTGAGAATGCTTCTGTCTAGTTTCAAGGGGAAGATATTCCCGTTTCCAACGAAGGCTTCAAAGCGCTCCAAATATCCACTTGCAGAGTCTACAAAAAGACTGTTTCAAAACTGCTCTATAAAAGTAAGGTTGTACTTTGTTAGTGGAATGCACCCATCAAAATGAAGTTTCTGAGAACACTTCTGTCTACTTTTCATGTGAAGATATTTCCTTATCCACAATAGTCCCCAAAGCCCTCAAAATGCCCACTTGAAGATCCCTCAAAAAGACTGTTTCAAAAATGCAGTATCAGAAGGAAATTTCAACTATGTGAGTAGAATGCACACATCACAAAGTAGTTTCTGAGAATGCTTCTGTCTAGTTTTTATATGAAGATATTTCCTTTTCGACCTTAAGCCTCAAAGTGCTGCAATTATGCACTTTCAGATTCTTCAAAAAGAGGGTTTCAAAACTGCTCTGGCAAAAGGAAGTTTCAACGCTGTGAGTTGAATGCACACATCACAAAGAAGTTTCTGAGAATGCTTCTGTCTAATTTTTATGTGAAGATAATCCTGTTTCCCAAGAAGGCTTCAAAGCACCCTAATATCCGCCTCCAGATTCTACAGAAAGAGTGTTTCAAAACTGCTCTATGGAAAGGAAGGTTCAACTCTGTGAGTTGAATGCAGACATCATAAAGGAGTTTCTGAGAATGCTTCTGTCTTGTTTTAATGTGAAGATATTTCCTTTTCAACCGATAGCCTGAAAGAGCTCCAAATGTCCAACTGCAGATTTTTTAAAAAGAATGTTTCAAAACTGCACTATCAAAAGAAAGGTTCAGCTCTGTGAGTTGAATGCACACATCTCAAAGAAGTTTCTGAGAATGGTTCTGTCTAGTTTTTATGTGAAGGTATTCGCGATTCCAATGAAGTCTTCAAAGCGCTCCAAATATCTAAATGCGGATTCTACAAAAAGAGTGATTCAAAACTGGTCTATGAAAAGGAAGGTTCAGCTCTGTGAGTTGAACGCACACATCACAAAAAGTTTCGGACAATGCTTCCATTTAGTTTTTAGGTGAAGATATTACCTTTTCAACCACAGCCTTCGAAACGCTCCAAATGTCCACTTGCAGATTCTACAAGAAGATTGTTTCCAGGCGGCTCTATCAAAAGAAATGTTCAACTATGGGAGTAGAATACACACATCACAAAGTCGTTTCTGAGAATGCTTCTGTCTAGCTTTTATGTGAAGATATTTCCTTTTCTACCAGAGGCCTGAAAGCGCTCCAAACGTCCAATTGCAGATTCTACAAAAAGAGTGTTTCAAAACTTCTCTATCAAAAGTAAGGGTCTGCTTTGTGAGTTGAATGTACACATCAAAATGAAGTTTCTGATTATACTTCTGTCTACTTCTTATGGGAAGATATTTCCTTATCCGCAATGGTCCTCAAAGCCCTCGAAATGCCCACTTGAAGATTCTTCGGAAAGACGGTTTCAAAACTGCTCTATCAAAAGAAAGTTTCAACTTTGTGTGTAGAATGCACACATCACAAAGTCGTTTCTGAGAATGCTTCTGTCTAGTTTTTATATGAAGATATTTCCTTTTCTACCATAAGCCTCAAAGCACTGCACATATGAACTGGCTGATTCTTTAAAAAGAGTGTTTCAAAACTGCTCTATCAAAACTGTTCTATCAACTCTGTGAGATGAATGGACACATCACAAAGATGTTTCTGAGAATGCTTCTGTCTAGGTTTTAGGTGAAGATATTCTCGTTTCCAAAGAATGCTTCAAAGAGTACTTAAATATCCGCCTGCAGATTCTACAAAAGGAGTGTTTAAAAACTGCTCTAACAAAAGAAAGGTTCAACCTGGGAGTTGAATGCACACATCACAAAGAAGTTTCTGAGAATGCTTCTGTCTAGTTTTAATGCGAAGCTATTCCCTTTTCCATCATAACCTTCAAAGCGCTCCAAATGTCTATTTGCAGATTTTACAAACAGAGTGGTTCCAGACTGCTCTATCAAAAGAAATTTTCAACTATGGGAGTAGAAGGCACACAACACAAATTCGTTTCTGAGAATGCTTCTGTCTAGTTTTTATGTGAAGATATTTCCTTTTCTACCACAGGCATAAATGTGCTCCAAATATCCACTTGCAGATTCTAAACAAAGAGTGTTTCAAAACTGCTGTATCAAAAGGAAGGTTCAATTCTGTGAGTTGAATGCACACATCACAAAGTAGTTTCTGAGAATGCTTCTGCCTAATTTTTAGATTTAAGATATTCCCATTTCCAAAGAAGGCTTCAATTTGCTCCAAATATCCACTTGCAGATTGTACAAAAAGAGGGTTTCAAAACTGCTCTATCAAAAGGAAGGTTCAACTCTGTGAGATGAATGCACACATCACAAAGTGGTTTCAGAGAATGCTTCTTTCTAGTTTTCAGGTGACGATATTCCCGTTTCCAATGTAGCACTCAAAGAGCTCCAAATATCCTCCTGCAGATTGTGCAAAAAGGGTGTTTCAAAACTGCTCTATCAAAAAGAAGCTTCAACTCTGTGAGTTGAATGCACAAATCACAAAGAAGTTTCTGGGAATACTTCTGTCTATTTTTATGTGACGATACTCCCGTTTCCAAAGAAGGCTTCAAAGCACTCCAAATATCCACCTGCAGATTATAAAGGAAGAGTTTTTCAAAACTGCTCAATCCAAAGGAAGGTTCAGCTCCGTGAGTTCAATGCCCACATCACAAAGAAGTTTCTGAGAATGCTTCTGTGTGGTTTCAAGGGGAAGATATTCCCGTTTCCAACGAAGGCTTCAAAGCGCTCCAAATATCCGCTTGCAGAGTCTACAAAAAGACTGTTTCAAAACTGCTCTATAAAAGTAAGGTTGTACTTTGTTAGTGGAATGCACCCATCAAAATGAAGTTTCTGAGAACACTTCTGTCTACTTTTCATGTGAAGATATTTCCTTATCCACAATAGTCCCCAAAGCCCTCAAAATGCCCACTTGAAGATCCCTCAAAAAGACTGTTTCAAAACTGCAGTATCAGAAGGAAATTTCAACTATGTGAGTAGAATGCACACATCACAAAGTAGTTTCTGAGAATGCTTCTGTCTAGTTTTTATATGAAGATATTTCCTTTTCGACCTTAAGCCTCAAAGTGCTGCAGTTATGCACTTTCAGATTCTTCAAAAAGAGGGTTTCAAAACTGCTCTGGCAAAAGGAAGTTTCAACGCTGTGAGTTGAATGCACACATCACAAAGAAGTTTCTGAGAATGCTTCTGTCTAATTTTTATGTGAAGATAATCCTGTTTCCCAAGAAGGCTTCAAAGCACCCTAATATCCGCCTCCAGATTCTACAGAAAGAGTGTTTCAAAACTGCTCTATGAAAAGGAAGGTTCAACTCTGTGAGTTGAATGCAGACATCATAAAGGAGTTTCTGAGAATGCTTCTGTCTTGTTTTAATGTGAAGATATTTCCTTTTCAACCGATAGCCTAAAAGAGCTCCAAATGTCCAACTGCAGATTTTTTAAAAAGAATGTTTCAAAACTGCACTATCAAAAGAAAGGTTCAGCTTTGTGAGTTGAATGCACACATCTCAAAGAAGTTTCTGAGAATGGTTCTGTCTAGTTTTTATGTGAAGGTATTCGCGATTCCAATGAAGTCTTCAAAGCGCTCCAAATATCTAAATGCGGATTCTACAAAAAGAGTGATTCAAAACTGGTCTATGAAAAGGAAGGTTCAGCTCCGTGAGTTGAACGCACACATCACAAAAAGTTTCGGACAAAGCTTCCATTTAGTTTTTGGGTGAAGATATTACCTTTTCAACCACAGCCTTCCAAACGCTCCAAATGTCCACTTGCAGATTCTACAAGAAGATTGTTTCCAGGCGGCTCTATCAAAAGAAATGTTCAACTATGGGAGTAGAATACACACATCACAAAGTCGTTTCTGAGAATGCTTCTGTCTAGTTTTTATGTGAAGATATTTCCTTTTCTACCAGAGGCCTGAAAGCGCTCCAAATATCCAATTGCAGATTCTACAAAAAGAGTGTTTCAAAACTTCTCTATCAAAAGTAAGGGTCTGCTTTGTGAGTTGAATGTACAGATCAAAATGAAGTTTCTGATTATACTTCTGTCTACTTCTTATGGGAAGATATTTCCTTATCCGCAATGGTCCTCAAAGCCCTCGAAATGCCCACTTGAAGATTCTTCGGAAAGACTGTTTCAAAACTGCTCTATCAAAAGAAAGTTTCAACTTTGTGTGTAGAATGCACACATCACAAAGTCGTTTCTGAGAATGCTTCTGTCTAGTTTTTATATGAAGATATTTCCTTTTCTACCATAAGCCTCAAAGCACTGCACATATGAACTGGCAGATTCTTTAAAAAGAGTGTTTCAAAACTGCTCTATCAAAACCGTTCTATCAACTCTGTGAGATGAATGGACACATCACAAAGATGTTTCTGAGAATGCTTCTGTCTAGGTTTTAGGTGAAGATATTCTCGTTTCCAAAGAATGCTTCAAAGAGTACTTAAATATCCGCCTGCAGATTCTACAAAAGGAGTGTTTCAAAACTGCTCTAACAAAAGAAAGGTTCAACCTGGGAGTTGAATGCACACATCACAAAGAAGTTTCTGAGAATGCTTCTGTCTAGTTTTAATGCGAAGATATTCCCTTTTCCATCATAACCTTCAAAGCGCTCCAAATGTCCATTTGCAGATTTTAGAAACAGAGTGTTTCCAGACTGCTCTATCAAAAGAAATTTTCAACTATGGGAGTAGAATGCACACAACACAAATTCGTTTCTGAGAATGCTTCTGTCTAGTTTTTATGTGAAGATATTTCCTTTTCTACCACAGGCATAAATGTGCTCCAAATATCCACTTGCAGATTCTAAAAGAAAGAGTGTTTCAAAACTGCTGTATCAAAAGGAAGGTTCAATTCTGTGAGTTGAATGCACACATCACAAAGTAGTTTCTGAGAATGCTTCTGCCTAATTTTTAGATTTAAGATATTCCCATTTCCAAAGAAGGCTTCAATTTGCTCCAAATATCCACTTGCAGATTGTACAAAAAGAGGGTTTCAGAACTGCTCTATCAAAAGGAAGGTTCAACTCTGTGAGATGAATGCACACATCACAAAGTGGTTTCAGAGAATGCTTCTTTCTAGTTTTTAGGTGACGATATTCCCGTTTCCAATGTAGCACTCAAAGAGCTCCAAATATCCTCCTGCAGATTGTGCAAAAAGGGTGTTTCAAAACTGCTCTATCAAAAAGAAGCTTCAACTCTGTGAGTTGAATGCACAAATCACAAAGAAGTTTCTGGGAATACTTCTGTCTATTTTTATGTGACGATACTCCCGTTTCCAAAGAAGGCTTCAAAGCACTCCAAATATCCACCTGCAGATTATAAAGGAAGAGTTTTTCAAAACTGCTCAATCCAAAGGAAGGTTCAGCTCCGTGAGTTCAATGCCCACATCACAAAGAAGTTTCTGAGAATGCTTCTGTCTAGTTTCAATGGGAAGATATTCCCGTTTCCAACGAAGGCTTCAAAGCGCTCCAAATATCCACTTGCAGAGTCTACAAAAAGACTGTTTCACAACTGCTCTATAAAAGTTAGGTTGTACTTTGTTACTTGAATGCACCCATCAAAATGAAGTTTCTGAGAACACTTCTGTCTACTATTCATGTGAAGATATTTCCTTATCCACAATAGTCCCCAAAGCCCTCAAAATGCCCACTCGAAGATTCCTCAAAAAGACGGTTTCAAAACTGCAGTATCAGAAGGAAATTTCAACTATGTGAGTAGAATGCACACATCACAAAGTAGTTTCTGAGAATGCTTCTGTCTAGTTTTTATATGAAGATATTTCCTTTTCTACCTTAAGCCTCAAAGTGCTGCAATTATGCACTTTCAGATTCTTCAAAAAGAGGGTTTCAAAACTGCTCTAGCAAAAGGAAGTTTCAACGCTGTGAGTTGAATGCACACATCACAAAGAAGTTTCTGAGAATGCTTCTGTCTAATTTTTATGTGAAGATAATCCTGTTTCCCAAGAAGGCTTCAAAGCACCCTAATATCCTCCTCCAGATTCTACAGAAAGAGTGTTTCAAAACTGCTCTATCAAAAGGAAGGTTCAACTCTGTGAGTTGAATGCAGACATCATAAAGGAGTTTCGGAGAATGCTTCCGTCTTGTTTTAATGTGAAGATATTTCCTTTTCAACCGATAGCCTAAAAGAGCTCCAAATGTCCAACTGCAGATTTTTTAAAAAGAATGTTTCAAAACTGCACTATCAAAAGAAAGGTTCAGCTCCGTGAGTTGAATGCACACATCTCAAAGAAGTTTCTGAGAATGCTTCTGTCTAGTTTTTATGTGAAGATATTCGCGATTCCAATGAAGTCTTCAAAGCGCTCCAAATATCTAAATGCGGATCCTACAAAAAGAGTGATTCAAAACTGGTCTATAAAAAGGAAGGTTCAGCTCTGTGAGTTGAACGCACACATCACAGAAAGTTTCTGAGAATGCTTCCATTTAGTTTTTAGGTGAAGATATTACCTTTTCAACCACAGCCTTCAAGACGCTCCAAATGTCCACTTGCAGATTCTACAAGAAGATTGTTTCCAGGCTGCTCTATCAAAAGAAATGTTCAACTATGGGAGTAGAATACACACATCACAAAGTCGTTTCTGAGAATGCTTCTGTCTAGTTTTTATGTGAAGATACTTCCTTTTCTACCAGAGGCCTGAAAGCGCTCCAAATATCCAATTGCAGATTCTACAAGAAGAGTGTTTCAAAACTTCTCCATCAAAAGTAAGGGTCTGCTTTGTGAGTTGAATGTACACATCAAAATGAAGTTTCTGATTATATTTCTGTCTACTCCTTATGGGAAGATATTTCCTTATCCGCAATGGTCCTCAAAGCCCTCGAAATGCCCACTTGAAGATTCTTCGGAAAGACTGTTTCAAAACTGCTCTATCAAAAGAAAGTTTCAACTTTGTGTGTAGAATGCACACATCACAAAGTCGTTTCTGAGAATGCTTCTGTCTAGTTTTTATAGGAAGATATTTCCTTTCCTACCATAAGCCTCAAAGCACGGCAAATATGAACTGGCAGATTCTTTAAAAAGAGTGTTTCAGAAATGCTCTATCAAAACTGTTCTATCAACCCTGTGAGTTGAATGGACACATCACAAAGACGTTTCTGAGAATGCTTCTGTCTAGGTTTTATGTGAAGGTGTTCTCGTTTCCAAAGAATGCTTCAAAGAGTACTTAAGTGTCCGCCTGCAGATTCTAAAAAAAGGAGTGTTTCAAAACTGCTCTAACAAAAGAAAGGTTCAACCTGGGAGTTGAATGCACACATCACAAAGAAGTTTCTGAGGATGCTTCTGTCTAGTTTTAATGCGAAGATATTCGCTTTTCCACCATAACCTTCAAAGCGCTCCAAATGTCCATTTGCAGATTTTACAAACAGAGTGTTTCCAGACTGCTCTATCAAAAGAAATTTTCAACTATGGGAGTAGAATGCACACATCACAAATGCGTTTCTGAGAATGCTTCTGTCTAGTTTTTATGTGAAGGTATTTCCTTTTCTACCGTAGGCATACATGTGCTCCAAATATCCGCTTGCAGATTCTAAAAAAAGAGTGTTTCAAAACTGCTCCATCAAAAGGAAGGTTCAATTCTGTGAGTTGAATGCACACATCACAAAGTAGTTTCTGAGAATGCTTCTGCCTAATTTTACATTTTAAGATATTCCCATTTCCAAAGAAGGCTTCAATTTGCTCCAAATATCCACTTGCAGATTGTACAAAAACAGGGTTTCAAAACTGCTCTATCAAAAGGAAGGTTCAACTCTGTGAGATGAATGCACACATCATAAAGTGGTTTCAGAGAATGCTTCTTTCTAGTTTTTCGGTGACGATATTCCCGTTTCCAATGTAGCATTCAAAGAGCTCCAAATATCCTCCTGCAGATTGTGCAAAAAGGGTGTTTCAAAACTGCTCTGTCAAAAAGAAGCTTCAACTCTGTGAGTTGAATGCACAAATCACAAAGAAGTCTCTGAGAATACTTCTGTCTATTTTTAGGTGACGATACTCCCGTTTCCAAAGAAGGCTTCAAAGCACTCCAAATATCCACCTGCAGATTATAAAGGAAGAGTTTTTCAAAACTGCTCAATCCAAAGGAAGGTTCAGCTCCGTGAGTTCAATGCCCACATCACAAAGAAGTTTCTGAGAATGCTTCTGTCTAGTTTCAATGGGAAGATATTCCCGTTTCCAACGAAGGCTTCAAAGCGCTCCAAATATCCACTTGCAGAGTCTACAAAAAGACTGTTTCACAACTGCTCTATAAAAGTAAGGTTGTACTTTGTTACTTGAATGCACCCATCAAAATGAAGTTTCTGAGAACACTTCTGTCTACTATTCATGTGAAGATATTTCCTTATCCACAATAGTCCCCAAAGCCCTCAAAATGCCCACTCGAAGATTCCTCAAAAAGACGGTTTCAAAACTGCAGTATCAGAAGGAAATTTCAACTATGTGAGTAGAATGCACACATCACAAAGTAGTTTCTGAGAATGCTTCTGTCTAGTTTTTATATGAAGATATTTCCTTTTCTACCTTAAGCCTCAAAGTGCTGCAATTATGCACTTTCAGATTCTTCAAAAAGAGGGTTTCAAAACTGCTCTAGCAAAAGGAAGTTTCAACGCTGTGAGTTGAATGCACACATCACAAAGAAGTTTCTGAGAATGCTTCTGTCTAATTTTTATGTGAAGATAATCCTGTTTCCCAAGAAGGCTTCAAAGCACCCTAATATCCTCCTCCAGATTCTACAGAAAGAGTGTTTCAAAACTGCTCTATCAAAAGGAAGGTTCAACTCTGTGAGTTGAATGCAGACATCATAAAGGAGTTTCGGAGAATGCTTCCGTCTTGTTTTAATGTGAAGATATTTCCTTTTCAACCGATAGCCTAAAAGAGCTCCAAATGTCCAACTGCAGATTTTTTAAAAAGAATGTTTCAAAACTGCACTATCAAAAGAAAGGTTCAGCTCCGTGAGTTGAATGCACACATCTCAAAGAAGTTTCTGAGAATGCTTCTGTCTAGTTTTTATGTGAAGATATTCGCGATTCCAATGAAGTCTTCAAAGCGCTCCAAATATCTAAATGCGGATCCTACAAAAAGAGTGATTCAAAACTGGTCTATAAAAAGGAAGGTTCAGCTCTGTGAGTTGAACGCACACATCACAGAAAGTTTCTGAGAATGCTTCCATTTAGTTTTTAGGTGAAGATATTACCTTTTCAACCACAGCCTTCAAGACGCTCCAAATGTCCACTTGCAGATTCTACAAGAAGATTGTTTCCAGGCTGCTCTATCAAAAGAAATGTTCAACTATGGGAGTAGAATACACACATCACAAAGTCGTTTCTGAGAATGCTTCTGTCTAGTTTTTATGTGAAGATACTTCCTTTTCTACCAGAGGCCTGAAAGCGCTCCAAATATCCAATTGCAGATTCTACAAGAAGAGTGTTTCAAAACTTCTCCATCAAAAGTAAGGGTCTGCTTTGTGAGTTGAATGTACACATCAAAATGTAGTTTCTGATTATACTTCTGTCTACTCCTTATGGGAAGATATTTCCTTATCCGCAATGGTCCTCAAAGCCCTCGAAATGCCCACTTGAAGATTCTTCGGAAAGACTGTTTCAAAACTGCTCTATCAAAAGAAAGTTTCAACTTTGTGTGTAGAATGCACACATCACAAAGTCGTTTCTGAGAATGCTTCTGTCTAGGTTTTATAGGAAGATATTTCCTTTTCTACCATAAGCCTCAAAGCACGGCAAATATGAACTGGCAGATTCTTTAAAAAGAGTGTTTCAAAACTGCTTTATCAAAACTGTTCTATCAACTCTGTGAGTTGAATGGACACATCACAAAGACGTTTCTGAGAATGCTTCTGTCTAGGTTTCATGTGAAGATATTCTCGTTTCCAAAGAATGCTTCAAAGAGTACTTAAATATCCGCCTGCAGATTCTACAAAAGGAGTGTTTCAAAACTGCTCTAACAAAAGAAAGGTTCAACCTGGGAGTTGAATGCACACATCACAAAGAAGTTTCTGAGAATGCTTCTGTCTAGTTTTAATGCGAAGATATTCCCTTTTCCACCATAACCTTCAAAGCGCTCCAAATGTCCATTTGCAGATTTTACAATCAGAGTGTTTCCAGACTGCTCTATCGAAAGAAATTTTCAACTATGGGAGTAGAATGCACACATCACAAATTCGTTTCTGAGAATGCTTCCGTCTAGTTTTTATGTGAAGATATTTCCTTTTCTACCATAGGCATAAATGTGCTCCAAATATCATAAATGTGCTCCAAATATCCACTTGCAGATACTAAAAAAGAGTGTTTCAAAACTGCTCTATGAAAAGGTGTGTACAAATATGTCAGTTGAATGCACACATCACAAAGTCGTTTCTGAGAATGCTTCTGTCTAGTTTTTATGTGTAGATATTTCCTTTTCCACCATAGGCCTCAAAGCTCTCCAAATGTCCACTTGCGGATTCTACAAAAAGAGTGTTTCAAACCCATTCTATCAAAATAAGGTTCAACTCTGTGAGTTGAATACACACATCACAAAGTAGTTTCTGAGAATGCTTCTGTCTCGATTTTATATGAATATATTTCCATTTCCACCACAACCCTCAAAGCTCTCCAAATGTCCACTTGCAGATTCTACAAGAAGAGTGTTTCAACACTGCTCTATCAAAAGAAAGGTTCAACTCTGTGAGTTGAATGAACGTATCACATAGAAGTTTCTGTGAATGCTTCTGTCTAATTTTTATATGAAGATAATTCATTTTCTACCAAAGGCTTCAAATCGCTCCATGTATCCACTTGAGGTTTCTACAAAAAGAGTGTTTCAAAACTGCTCTATCAAAAGAAATGTTCAACTCTGTGAGTTTAGTGCACTCATAACCAACTGCTTTTGTCTAGTTTTTATATGAAGATATTTCCTTTTCTACCAAAGGCCTCAAAGGACTCTATATATCCTCTTGCAGATTCTACAAAAAGAGTGTTTCAACACTCCTCTATCAAAAGAAAGGTTCAACTTTGTGAGTTGAATGCACAAATCACTAAGTTTCTGAGAATGCTTCTGTCTAGTTTTTATTTGAAGATACTTCCTTTTCTAACATAGGCCTCAAAGCTCTCCATATATCCACTTAGAGATTCTACAAAAAGTGTGTTTCAAAACTGCTCTATAAAAGAAAGTTTTAACACTGTTAGTTGAATGTGTACATCATAAAGAATTTTCCGTGAATGCTTCTGTCAACTTTTTATTTTAAGATATTCCCATTTCCACTGGAGGCCTCAAAGTGCTCCGTATATCCACTTGCGGATCCTACAAAACGAGAGTTTCAAAACTGATCTATCAAAAGAAAGTTTCAACTATGTGGGTTGAATGCACACATCATTAAGTAGTTTCCTAGAATGCTTCTGTCTAGTTTTTATATGAAGATATTTCCTTTTCTTCCATAGGCCTCAAAGTGATCCATATATCCACTTGCAGATTCTACAAAAAGATGGTTTCAAAACTGCTGTACCAAAAGGAAGTTTCAACTCTGTGAGCTGAATGCGCACATCACAAAGCAGTTTCTGAGAATGCTTCTATTAACTTTTTATGTGAAGATATTCCCATTTCCACTGGAGGCCTCAAAGTGCTCTGTATATCCACTTGCAGATTCTACGAAAAGAGTGTTTCAAAACTGCTCTATCAAAAGAAAGTTTCAACTCTGTGAGTTGAATGCACACATTGCTAAGTAGTTTCTGAGAATGCTTCTGTCTAGTTTTTATATGAAGATATTCCCTTTTCTTCCATAGACCTCAAAGTGCTCCATATATCCACTTGCAGATTCTACAAAAAGAGTGCTTCAACACTGCTGTATCAAAAGAAAGGTTCAACTCTGTGAGGTGAATGAACACATCACATAGCAGTTTCTGAGAATGCTTCTGTCTAGTTTTTAGGTGAAGATATTCCCGTTTCAACAGTAGGCCTCAAAGCCCTCTATTATCCACTTGCAGATTCTAGAAAAAGAGTGTTTCAAAACTGCTCTATCAAAAGGAAAGTTCAACTCTGTGAGCTGAAGGCACACATCACAAAGCAGATTCTGAGAGTGCTTCTGTCTAGTTTTTAGGTGAAGATATTCCCCTTGCCACCTTAGGCCTCAATACCCTCCAAACATCGACTAGCAGATTCTACAAAAAAAGTGTTTCAGATCTGCTCTATCAAAAGTCTGGTTCAACTGTGTGAGTTGAGTGCACACATCAAAAATAAGTTTCTGAGAATGCTTCTGTCTAGTTTTTATGTGAAGATAATCCCGTTTCCACTGAAGGCCTCAAAGGGCTCCATATATCCACTGGCAGATTCTTCAAAAAGAATGTTTGCAAACTGCTCTATCAAAAGAAAGGTTCAACTCTGTGAGTTGCATGCACACATCAAAAAGTAGTTTCTGACAATGCTTCTGTCTAGTTTTTATATGAAGATATTTCTTTTCCACCACAGACCTCATAGTGCTCCAAATGTCCACTTGCAGATTATACAAAAAGAATGATTCAAAACGTCTCTATCAAAAGAAAGTTTCAAATCTGTGAGTTGAATGCACACAACACAAACATTTTCTTAGAATGCTTCTGTCTAGTTTTTATATGAACATATTTCCTTTTCTACCATAGGCCACAAAGCGGTCCATATATCCACTTGCGGATTCTACAAAACGAGTGTTTCAAAACTGCTCTATCAAAAGAAAGTTTCAGCTCAGAGAGTTGAATGCTCACATCACTAAGTAGTTTCTAAGAATGTTTCTGTCTATTTTTTACATGAAGATATTTCCTTTCCTTCCATAGGCCTCAAAGCGAACCTTATATCCACTTGCAGATTCTACAAAAAGATTGTTTCATAACTGCTCTATCAAAAGGAAGTTTCAACTCTGTGAGCTGAATGCGCACATCACAAAGAAGTTTGTGAAAGTGTTTCTGTCTAGTTTTTATGGGAAGATATTCCCGTTTCCACTGAAGGCCTCAAAGCGCTCAGTATATCCACTTGAAGATACTACAAAAAGAGTGTTTCAATACTGCTCTATCAAAACGAAGCTTCAACTCTGTGTGTTGAATGCACAAATCACAAAGAAGTTACTGAGCATTCTTCTCTCTAGTTTTCAGGTGCGATATTCCCTTTTCCAACGAAGGCCTCAAAGTGGTCCAAATATCAACTTACAGATGCTACAAAAACAGTGTTTCAAAACTACTTTATTAAAGGAAAGTTTCAACACTGTGAGTTGAATGCTCACATCACAAAGAAATTTCTGAGAATGGTTCTGTCTAATTTTATGGGAAGATATTGCCGTTTCCTACGAAAGCCTCAAACCGGCCCAAATATCCACTTGCAGATACTACAAAAAGAGTGTTTCAAAACCGCTCTATGAAAAGGTGAGTTCAAATGTGTGAGTTGAATGCACACATCACAAAGAAGTTTCTGAGTATGCTTCTGTCTAGTTTTCATGTGAAGATATTTCCCTTTCCACCATAGGCCTCAAAGCTCTCCAAATGGCCACTTGCAGATTCTACAAAAAGAGTGTTTCCAAGCTGCTCTATCAAAAGAAAGGTTCAACACTGTGAGTTGAATGCACACATCACAAAGTAGTTTCTGAGAATGTCTCTGTCTAGTTTTTATGTGAAGATATTCCCGTTTCCAACAAAAGCCTCAAAGCTATCCAAATATCAACTTGCAGATTATACAAAACGAGTGTTTCAAAACTGCTCTATCAGAAGAAAGGTCCAGCTCTGTGAGTTGAATGCACACATCACCAAATGCTTCTGTCTAGTTTTGATATGAAGATATTTCCTTTTCTACCAAAGACCTCAAAGCACTCTATATATCCACTTGCAGATTGTACAAAAAGAGTGTTTCAAAACTTCTCTATCAAAAGAAAGGTTTAACTCTTTGAGTTGAGTGTGCACATCACAAAGGAGTTTCTGAAAATGTTTCTGTCAACTTTTTATGTTAAGATATTCCCATTGCCACCGAATGTCTCAAAGTGCTCTGTATATCCACTTGCAGATTCTACGAAAAGAATGTTTCAAAACTGCTCTATCAAAAGAAAGTTTCAACGTTGTGAGTTGAATGTACACATCGTTAATTAGTTTCTGATAATGCTTCTGTCTAGTTTTTATATGAAGATATTTCCTTTTCTTCCATAGACTGCATAGCGCTTCATATATCCACTTGCAGATTCTACAAAAAGAGTGTTTCAACACTGCTCTATCAAAGGAAGGTTCAAATCTGTGAGCTGAATGAAGACATCACATAGTAGTTTCTGAGAATGCTTCTGTCTAGTTTTTACATGAAGATATTTCATTTTCTACCATAGGCCTCAAATCGCTCCAAATATCCACTTGCAGATTCTACAAAAAGAGTGTTTCAAAACTGCTCAATCAAAAGAAACTTCCAACACTGTGAGTTGAATGCACACATCACAAAGAAGTTTGGGTGAATTCTGTCTAGATTTATGTGAAGATAGTTCATTTTCCATCATAGGACTCAAAGGGAACAAAATATCCACTTGCAGTTTCTACAAAATGTGTGTTTCAAAACTGCTCCATCAAAAGATAGGTTCAACTCTGTGAGTTGAATGCACACATCACAAAGAAGTTTCTGAGAATTCTTCTGTCCAGTTTTCATGTGAAGACATTTCCTTTTCCACCAAAGGCCTCAAATGGAACAAAATATACACTTGCAGATTCTACAAAAAGAGTGTTTCCGAACTGCTCTATTTGAGTTGAATGCGCACATCACAGGGAAGTTTCTCAGAATGCTTCTTTCAATTTTTTATGTGAAGATATTTCGTTTTACAACATAGCCCTCTAAGCCTTCCATATATTCACTTGGAGATTCTACAGAAAGAGAGTTTCAAAACTGCTCTATCAAAAGAAAGGTTCAAATCTATGAGTTAAATGAACACATATCAAAGAAGTTTCTGAGAATTCTTCTGTCTAGTTTTTATGTGAAGATATTTCCTTTTCCGCCATAGGCCACATAGCACTACAAATATCCACCTGCAGATTCTACAAAAAGAGTGTTTCAAAACTGCTCTATCAAAAGAAAGTTTCAACTCTTTGAGTTGAATGCACACATCTGTCTAGTTTTTATGTGAAGATATTTCCTTTTCCACCACAGGCCTCAAAGTGCTCCAATCATCCATGTGCAGATACTGCAAAGAGAGTGTTTCAAAGCTGCTCTATCAAAAGAAAGTTTCAACTCTGTGAGTTGAATGCAAGCATCTCAAAGAAGCTTGGGTGAATTCTGTCTAGATTTATGTGAAGATAGTTCGTTTACCATCATAGGCCTCAAAGGGAACAAAATATCCACTTGCAGTTTCTACAAAATGAGTGTTTCAAAACTGCTCTATTAAAAGATAGGTTCAAATCTGTGAGTTGAATGCACACATCACAAAAAGTTTCTGAAAATGCTTCTGTATAGTTTTTATGTGAAGGTATTTCCTTTTCCAACATAGGATTCAAAGCGCTCCAAATATCCACTTGCCGATTCTACAAAAAGAGTGTTTCCAAACTGCTCTATCAAAAGAACTTTTGAACTCTTCGAGTTGAATGCACAAATCACAGGGAAGTTTCTGAGAATGATTCTGTCTAGTTTTTATGTGAATATATTTCCTTTTACAACATAGCCCTCTAAGCCCTCCATATATTCACTTGGAGATACTACAAAAAGACTTTCAAAACTGCTCTATCAAAAGATAGGTTCAACTCTGTGAGTTGAATTCGCACATCACAAAGAAGTTTCTGAGATGACTTCTGTCTAGTTTTTATGTGAAGATATTTCCTTTTCCTCCATAGGCCTCAAATCACTCCTAATATCCACCTGCAGATTCTACAAAATGTGAGTTTCAAAACTGCTCTATCAAAAGATAGGTTCAACTCTGTGAGTTGAATGCGCACATCACAAGGAAGCTTCTGAGATGGCTTCTGTCTAGTTTTTATGTGAAGATATTTCCTTTTCCACCATAGGCCTCAAAGTGCTCCAAACATCCACGTGCAGATTCTACAAAGAAAGTGTTTCAAAACTGCTCTGTCAAAAGAAACGTTCAATTCTGTGAGATGAATGCACACATCACAAAGAAGTTACTGAGAATACTTCTGTCTAGTTTTTATGAGGAGATATTTCGTTTTCCAACATAAGCCTCAAAAGGAAAGAAATATCAACTTTCAGATTATACAAAAGAGTGTTTCAAAACTGCTCAATCAAAAGAAACTTTCAACACTGTGAGTTGAGTGCACACATCACAAAGAAGTTTGGGTGAATTCTGCTAGATTTATGTGAAGATAGTTCATTTTTCATCATAGGCCTCAAAGGGAACAAAATATCCACTTCCAGTTTCTATAAAATATGTGTTTCAAAACTGCTCCATCAAAAGATAGGTTCAACTCTGTGAGTTTAATGCACACATCACAAAGAAGTTTCTGAGAATCCTTCTGTCTAGATTTCATGTGAAGACATTTGCTTTTCCACCATAGGCCTCAAAGTGCTCCAAATATCCACTTGCAGATTCTACAAAAAGAGTGTTTCAAAACTGCTCTATCAAAAGAAAGGTTTAACTCTGTGAATTGAATGCGCACATTACAAGGAAGTTTGTGAGAATACTTCTGTCTAGTTTTTATGTGAAGATATTTCCTTTTCCTCCATAGGCCTCAAAGCTTTCCAAATGACCACTTGAAGATTCTAGAAAAAGAGAGTTTCAAAAGTGCTCTATCAAAAGAAAGGTTCAACACCATGAGTTGAATGCACACATCACAAAGAAGTTTCTGAGAATGCTTCTGTCTACTTTTTATGTGAAGATATTCCCGTTTCCCAAGAAGGCTTCAAAGCAGTCCCAATATCCACTTGCAGAATCTACGAAAAGAGTGTTTCAAAAGTGCTCTAAGAAAAGGTATGTTCAACTCTGTGAGTGGAATGCACACGTCTCAATGAAGTTTCTGAGGATGCTTCTGTCTAGTTTTTATGTGAAGTTATTTCCTTTTCCACCACAGGCCTCAAAGCTCTCCAAATGTGCACTTGCAGATTCTACGAAAAGAGTGTTTCAGTACTGCTCTATGAAAAGGTATGTTCAACTCTTTGAGTTGAATGAAAACATCACAAAAAGTTTCTGAAAATGCTTCTGTCTACTTTTTATGTTAAGAGATTTCCTTTTCCACCGTTGGCTTCAAAGCTCTCCTAATGTCCACTTGCGAATTCTGCAAAAAGAGTGTTTCAAAACTGCTCTAACAGAAGAAAGGTTGAACTCTGTGAGTTGAACACACACATCACAAAGAAGTTTCTGAGAATGCTTCTGTATAGTTTTATGTGAAGATATTCCCGTTTCCAACGAAGGCCTCAAAGCAGTCTAAATATCCACTTGCAGATTCTAAGAAAAGAGTGTTTCAAAACTGCTCTATGAAAAGTTACGTTCCACTCTGTGAATTGAATGCAAACATTACAGAGAAGTTTTCGAGAATACTTCTGTCCAGTTTTTATGTGAAGATATTTCCTCTTCTTCCATTGGCCACAAAGCTTTCCAAATGTCCACTTACTGATTCTACAAAAAGATCTTTTCAAAACTGCTCTATCAAAAGAAAGGTTCAACTCTGTGAGTTGAATGCACACATCACAAAGAAGTTTCTGAGAATGCTTCTGTCTTGCTTATATGTGAAGATATTCCCGTTTACAGTGAAGGTCTCCAGGCAGTCCAAATATCCACTTGCAGATTCTACAAAAAGAGTGTTTCAGAACTCCTCTATGAAGAGGTATGTTCAACTCTGTGAGGTGAATGCACACATCATAAAGTAGTTTCTGAGAATGCTTCCCTCTGGTTTTCATGTGAAGATATTTCCTTTTCCACCATAGGCCACAAAGCTCTCTTAATTTCCAATTTCAGATACTACAAAAAGAGTGTTTCAAAACTGCTCTACCAAAAGAAAGTTTCAAATCTGTGAGTTGAATGCACACTTCACAAATAAGTTTCTGAGAATGCTTCTGTCTACTTTTTATGTGAAGATATTCTCGTTTCCTAAGAAGGCCTCAAGGCAGTCTCAATATCCACTTGCAGATTCTCCAAAAAGAGTGTTTCAAAAGTGCTCTAAGAAAAAGTATGTTCAACTCTGTGAGTTGAATGCACACGTCTCAAAGAAGTTTCTGAGAATGCTTCTGTCTAGTTTTTATGTGAAGATATTTCCTTTTCCACCACTGGCCTCAAATCCCTCCAAATGTGCACTTGCAGATTCTTCAAAAACAGTGTTTAAAAACTGTTCTATCAAAAGAAAGGTTCAATTCTGTGAGCTGAATGTACACATCACAAAATATTTCTGAGAATTCTTCTGTCTAGCTTATATGTGAAGATATTCCCGTTTCCAACGAAGGCCTCAAAGCAGTCGAAATATCCACTTGCAGATTCTACGAAAAGAGTGTTTCTGTATGACTCTATGAACAGGTATGTTCAATGCTTTCAGTTGAATGCAAACATCACAAAGAAATTTCTGAGAATGCTTCTGTCTGGTTTTTGTGTGAAGATATTTCCTTTTCCTCCATAGGCCTCAAACCACTACAAATGTTCACTGGCAGATTCTACAAAAACAGTGTTTCAAAACTGTTCTATCAAAAGAAAGGTTCAGCTCTGTGGGTTTAATGGAAACGTCCCAAAGAAGTTTCTGAGAATGCTTCTGTCTAGTTTTTATGTGAAAATATTTCGTTTTACAGCATAGCCTTCTAACCCACCATAAATTCACTAAGAGATTCTACAAAAAGAGTGTCTCAAAACTGCTCTATGAAAAGAAAGGTTCAAATCTGAGTTGAATGCACTCGTCACAAAGAAGTTTCTGATAATTCTTCTGTCTAGATTTTATGTGAAGATATTTCCTTTTCCACCATAGGCTTCAAAGCTCTCCAAATGTCCACTCGCAGATTTTACCAAAAGAGTGTTTCACAACTGTTCGTTCAAAGGAAAGTTTCACCTCTGTGAGTTGAATGCAGACATCACAAAGAAGTTTCTGAGAATGCTTCTGTCTAGATTTTATGTGAAGATATTTCCTTTTCCACCACAGGCCTAAAAGCTTTCCAAATGTCCACTTGCAGATTGTACAAAAAGAGTGTTTCAAAACTGCTCTATCAAAAGAAAGGTTCAACTCTGTGAGTTGAATGCACACATCCCAAAGAAGTTTCTGAGAATGCTTCTGTCTAGCTTGTATATGAAGATATTCCCGTTTCCAGTGAAAGACTCCATGCAGTCCAAATATTCTGCAAATTCTACAGAAAGAGTGTTTCAGAACTCCTCTATGAACAGGTATATTCAACTCTATGAGCTGAATGCAAACATCACAAAGTAGTTTCTGAGAATGCTTCTGTCAGGTTTTTATGTGAAGATATTTCCTTTTCCACCATAGGCCTCAAAGCTTTCCTAAAGTCCAATTCCAGATTCTACAAAAAGAGTGTTTCAAAACTTTTCTATCAAAAGAAAGGTTCAACTCTGTGAGTTGAATACACACATCACAAAGAAGTTTCTGAGAATGCTTCTGTCTACTTTTTATGTGAAGATATCCCCGTTTCCAAGGAAGGCCTCAAGCAGTCCCAATATCCACTTGCAGATATTAAGGAAACAGTGTTTTAAAACTGCTCTCAGAAAAGGTATGTTCAACTACGTGAGTTGAATGCACACATCACAAAGAGGTTTCTGATTTGTTTGTATCCTCTTTTATTTCTTTGAGCAGTGGTTTGTAGTTCTCCTTGAAGAGGTCCTTCACATCCCTTGTAAGTTGGATTCCTAGGTATTTTATTCTCTTTGAAGCAATTGTGAATGAGAGTTCACTCATGATTTGGCTCTCTGTTTGTCTGTTTTTGGTGTATAAGAATGCTTGTGATTTTTGCACCCATAGGAAGAATCAATATCGTGAAAATGGCCATACAGCCCAAGGTAATTTACAGATTCAATGCTATCCCCATCAAGCTACCAATGACTTTCTTCACAGAATTGGAAAAAACTACTTTAAAGTTCATATGGAACCAAAAAAGAGCCCGCATCACCAAGTCAATTCTAAGCCAAAAGAACAAAGCTGGAGGCATCACGCTACCTGACTTCAAACTATACTACAAGGCTACAGTAACCAAAACAGCATGGTACTGGTACCAAAACAGAGACATAGATCAATGGAACAGAACAGAGCCCTCAGAAATAATGCCACATATATACAACTATCTGATCTTTGACAAACCTGAGAAAAACAAGCAATGGGGAAAGGATTCCCTATTTAATAAATGGTGCTGGGAAAACTGGCTAGCCATATGTAGAAAGCTGAAACTGGATCCCTTACTTACACCTTATACAAAAATCAATTCAAGATGGATTAAAGATTTAAACATTAGACCTAAAACCATAAAAACCCTAGAAGAAAACCTAGGCATTACCATTCAGGACATAGGCATGGGCAAGGACTTCATGTCCAAAACACCAAAAGCAATGGCAACAAAAGACAAAATTGACAAATGGGATCTAATTAAAATAAAGAGCTTCTGCACAGCAAAAGAAACTACCATCAGAGTGAACAGGCAACCTACAGAATGGCAGAAAATTTTCGCAACCTACTCATCTGACAAAGGGCTAATATCCAGAATCTACAATGAACTCAAACAAATTTACAAGAAAAAAACAAACAACCCCATCAAAAAGTGGGTGAAGGATATGAACAGACACTTCTCAAAAGAACACATTTATGCAGCCAAAAAACACATGAAAACAATGCTCGTCATCACTGGCCATCAGAGAAATGCAAATCAAAACCACTATGAGATACCATCTCACACCAGTTAGAATGGCGATCATTAAAAAGTCAGGAAACAACAGGTGCTGGAGAGGATGTGGAGAAATAGGAACACTTTTACACTGCTGGTGGGACTGTAAACTAGTTCAACCATTGTGGAAGTCAGTGTGGCGATTCCTCAGGGATCTAGAACTAGAAATACCATTTGACCCAGCCATCCCATTACTGGGTATATACCCAAAGGACTATAAATCATGCTGCTATAAAGACACAGGCACACATATGTTTATTGCAGCATTATTCACAATGGCAAAGACTTGGAACCAACCCAAATGTCCAACAATGATAGACTGGATTAAGAAAATGTGGCACATATACACCATGGAATACTATGCAGCCATAAAAAATGATGAGTTCACGTCCTTTGTAGGGACATGGATGAAATTGGAAATCATCATTCTCAGTAAACTATTGCAAGAACAAAAAACCAAACACCGTATATTCTCACTCATAGGTGGGTATTGAACAATGAGATCACATGGACACAGGAAGGGGAATATCACACTCTGGGGACTGTGGTGGGGTGGGGGGAGGGGGGAGGGATTGCATTGGGAGATATACCTAATGCTAGATGACGAGTTAGTGGGTGCAGCGCACCAGCACGGCACATGTATACATGTGTAACTAACCTGCACAATGTGCACATGTACCCTAAAACTTAAAGCATAATAATAAAAAAAAATAAAATAAAATGAAATAAAATAAAACAAAGAGGTTTCTGACAAGGCTTCTGTCTAGTTTTTATGTGAAGATATTTCGTTTTCCAACACAGGCCTGAAAGCTCTCCAAATGTCCACTTGCAGATTCTACAAAAAGATTGTTTAAAAACTGTTCTATCAAAAGAAAGGTTAAACTCTGTGAGTTGACTGTACACATCACAAAGAAGTTTCTGAGAATTCTTCTGTCTAGCTTATATGTGAAGATATTCCCGTTTCTAATGAAGGCCTCAAAGCAGTCTAAATATCCACTTGCAAATTCTACGAAAAGAGTGTTTCAGTACTGCTCTATGAAGAGATATGTTCAACTCTGTGAGTTGAATGCAAACATCACAAAGAATTTACCTAGAATGCTTCTGTCTAGTTTTTATGTGAAGATACTCCCGTTTCCAATAAAAGCCTCAAAGCTATACAAATATCCACTTGCAGATTCTACAAAAAGAGTGTTTCAAAACTGCTATAAAAAAAGAAAGGTTCAAATCTGTGAGTTGAGTACACACATCACAAAGAAGTTTCTGAGAATGATTCTGCCTAGTTTTTATGGGAAGATATTTCCTTTTTCACCACAGGCCTCAAAGCGCTCCAAATGTTCACTTCCAGATACTACAAAAAGAGTGTTTCAAAACTGCTCTATGAAAGGGAATGTTCAACTCTGTGAGCTGAATGCAAACATCACAAAGAAGTTTCTGAGAATGTTTCAGCCTACTTTTTATATGAAGATATTCCCGTTTCCAACGAAATCCTCAAAGCAATCCAAAATCCCCTTGCAGATTCTACAAAAAGAGTGTTTCAAAACTGTTCCATGAGAAGAAAAGTTCTACTCTGTGAGTTGAGTACACACATCACAAAGAAGTTTCTGAGAATTCTTCTGTCTAGTTTTTATGGGACGATATTTCGTTTTTCACCAAAGACCTGAAAGTGCTCCAAGTTTCCACTTACAGATTCTACAAAAAGAGTATTTCAAAACTGCTCTATGAAAAGAATGTTCTACTCTGTGAGTTGAATGCAAGCATCAGAAAGAAGTTTCTGAGAATGCTGCTGTCTAGTTTTTTTGTGAATATATACCCGTTTCCAGCGAAGGCCTCAAAGCTGTTCAAATATCCACTTGGAAATTCTACAAAAAGAAGGTTTCCAATCTGCTCCATCAAAAGAAAGTTTCAACTCTGTGAATTGAATGCACACATCACCGAGAAGTTTGTGAGAATGCTTCTGTCTAGTTTTATGCGAAGATATTACCGTTTCCAAGGAAATCCTCAATGCTGTCTTAATATCCACTTGTAAATTCTACAATAAGAGTGTTTCAAAACTGCTGTATCAAAGGAAAGGTTTAACTATGTGAGTTGAGTACACACACCACAAATTAGTTTCTGAGAATGCTTCCGTCTACTTTTTATGTGAAGATATTTCCTTTTTCACCATAGGTCTCAAATCGCTCCAAATGTCCACTTGCAGATTCTACAAAAAGAGTGTTTCAAAACTGCTCTATGAAAAGGAATGTTCAACTCTGTGAGTTGAATGAAAATATCACAAAGAAGTTTCTGAGAATGCTTCTGTCTAGTTTTTATGTGAAGATATTCCCGTTTCCAACGAAAGCCTCAAAGCTATATAAATATCCACTTGCAGATTCTACAAAAGAGTGTTTAAAAACTGCTGTTTCTAAAGAAAGGATCAACTCTGTGAGTTGAGTACACATATCACAAAGAAGTTTCTGAGAGTGCTTCTGTCTAGTTTTTTTGTGAATATATACCCGTTTTCAGTGAAGGCCTCAAAGCTGTCCAAATGTCCACTTGCAAATTCTACAAAAAGAGTGTTTCAAAACTGCTCTAAGAAAATGAGTGTTCAACTCGGTGAGTTGAAAGCAAACATCACAAAGGATTTTCTGAGAGTGCTTCTGTCTAGTTTTTATGTGAAGATATTGCCGTTTCCAACGAAAGCCTCAAAGCTATCAAAATATCCACTTCCAGATTGTACAAAAAGAGTGTTTCAAAACTGCTGTACCAAAAGAATGGTTCAACTCTGTGAGTTGAGTACACACATCACAAACAAGTTTCTGAGAATGCTTCTGTCTAGTTTTTATGTGAAGATATTTCCTTTTTCACCATAGGCCTCAAAGCGCTACAAATATCCACTTCCAGATACTTCAAAAAGAGTGTTTCAAAACTGCTCTATGGAAGGGAATGTTCAATTCTGTGATTTGAATGCAAACATCACAAAGAAGTTTCTGAGAATGCTTCTGTCTAGTTTTTATGTGAAGGTATTCCCGTTTCCAAAGAAATCCTCAAAGCTATCCAAATATGCACTTGCAGACCCTACAAAAAGAGTGTTTCAAAACTGCTCTATGAAAGGGAATGTTCAACTCTGTGAGTTGAATGCAAACATCACAAAGAAGTTTCTGAGAATGCTTCTGTCTAGTTTTTATGTGAAGGTATTCCCGTTTCCAAAGAAATCCTCAAAGCTATCCAAATATCCACTTGCAGACTCTACAAAAAGAGTGTTTCAAAACTGCTCTATCAAAAGAAAAGTTCAAATCAGTGAGTTGAGTACACAGTTCACAAAGAAGTTTCTGAGAATTCTTCTGTCTAGTTTTTAAGGGGAGATATTTCCTTTTTCACCAAAGGCCTCAAAGCGCTCCAAGTTTCCACTTACAGATTCTACAAAAAGAGTGTTTCAAAAGTGCTCTGTGAAAAGGAATGTTCAACTCTGTGAGTTGAATGCAAGCATCACAAAGTAGTTTCTGAGAATGCTTCTGTCTATTTTTTTTGTGAATATATACCGGTTTCCAGCGAGGCTTCAAAGCTGTCCAAATATCCCCTTGTAAATTCTACAAAGAGAGGGTTTCTAATCTGCTCTTTCAAAAGAAAGTTTCAACGCTGTGAGTTGAATGCACACATCACATAGAACTTTCTGAGAATGCTTTTGTCTAGTTTTATGTTAAGATAGTCCAGTTTCCAACGAAAACCCCAATGCTGTCCAAATATCCGCCTGTAAATTCTACAAGAAGAGTGTTTCAAAACTGCTGTATCAAAGGGAAGGTTTAACTCTGTGAATTGAGTACACACATCGCAAAGTAGTTTCTGAGAATGCTTCTGTCTACTTTTATGTGAAGATATTTCCTTTTTCACCATAGGTCTCAAATGCTCCAAATGTCCACTTGCAGATTCTACAAAAAGAGTGTTTCAAAACTGCTCTATGAAAAGGAATGTTCACCTCTGTGATTTGAATGCAAGCATCTCAAAGAAGTTTCAGAGAATGCTTCTGTCTAGTTTTTATGTGAAGATTTTCACGTTTCCAAAGAAAACCTCAAATCTATCCAAATATCCACTTGCAGATTCTACAAAAAGAGTGTTTCAAAACTGCTGTAATGAGACAAAGGTTCAAATATGTGCATAGAGTACACACATCACTAAGAAGTTTCTGACAATGCTTCTGTCTAGTTTTTATGTGAACATATTTCCTTTTTCACCGTAGACCTCAAAGTGCTCCAAATGTCCAATTCCGGATACTACAAAAAATGTGTTTCAAAGTGCTCTATGAAAGAGAATGTTCAACTCTGTGAGTTGAATGCAAACATAACAAAGAAGTTTCTTAGAATGCTTCTCTCTAGTTTTTACGTGAAGATATTCCCGTTTCCAACGAAATCCTCAAAGCTATCCAAATATCCACTTGCATATTCTACAAAACAGTGTTTCAAAACTGCTGTATCAAAAGAAAGGATCAACTCTGTGAGTTGAGTACACCATCACAAAGAAGTTTCTGATAATGCCTCTGTCTAGTTTTTATGTGAAGATATTTCCTTTTTCACCATAGGCCTCAAAGGGCTCCAAATATGCTTTTCCATATACTACAAAAAGAGTGTTTCAAAACGGCTCTATGAAAGGGAATGTTCAACTCTGTGAGTTGAATGCAAGCATCACAAAAAATTTTCTGAGAATCCTTCTGTCTAGTTTTTATGTGAAGATATTCCCATTTCCAACGAAATCCTCAATCCTGTCCTAATATCCCCATGTAAATTCTACAAGAAGTGTATTCCAAAACTGCTGTATCAAAGGAAAGATTTAACTCTTTGAGTTGAGTACACTCATGACAAAGTAGTTTCTGAGAATGCTTCTTTCTACTTTTTATGTAAAGATATTTCTTTTTCACCAAAGGCCACAAAATGCTCCAAGTTTCCACCTACAGATTCTTCAAAAAGAGTGTTTCAAAACTGTTCTATGTAAAGGAATGTTCTCCTCTGTGAGTTGAATGCAAGCATCACAAAGATGTTTCTGAGAATGCTTCCGTCTAGTTTCTTTGTGAATATATACCCGTTCCCACCGTAGGCCTCAAAGTTGTCCAAATATCCACTTGCAAATATTACCAACAGAGGGTTTCCAATCTGCTCTGTCAAAAGAAAGTTTCAACTCTGTGAGTTGAATGCAAACATCAAAAGAAAGTTTCTGAGAATGCTTCTGTCTACTTTTATGTGAAGATATTCCCGTTTCCAATGAAAATCTCAATGCTGTCCAAATATCCGCTTGTAAATTCTACAAGAAGAGTGTTTCAAAACTGCTGTATCAAAGGAAAGGTTTAACTCTGAGTGGAGTACACACATAACAAAGTAGTTTCTGAGAATGCTTCTGTCTACCTTTTATGTGAAGATATTTCCTTTTTCACCATAGGTCCCAAATCACTCCAAATGTCCACTTGCAGATTCTATAAAAAGAGTGTTTCAAAACTGTGCTATGAATACAAATGTTCAACTCTGTGTGTTGAATGAAAACATCACAAAGAAGTTTCTGACAATGATTCTCTCTAGTTTTTATGTGAAGATATTCCCGATTCCAACGAAATCCTCAAAGCTATCCAAATATCCACTTTCAGACCCTACAAAAAGAGTGCTTCAAAACTGCTCTATCAAAGGAAAAGTTCAACTCTGTGAGTTGAATCCAAACATCACAAAGAAGTTTCTGAGAATGCTTCTCTCTAGTTTTTATGTGAAGACATTCCCGATTCCAATGAAATCCTCAAAGCTATCCAAATATCCACTTGCAGACTCTACAAAAAGAGTGTTTCAAAACTGCTCCATCAAAGGAAAAGTTCAACTCTGTGAGTGGAGTATACACATCACACAGAAGTTTCTGAGAATTCTTCTGTGTAGTTTTTATGGGAACATATTTCTTTTTCACCAGAGGCCTCAAAGCGCTAAAATTTCCACCAACAGATTCTTCAAAAAGTGTGTTACAAAACTGCTCTATTAAAAGGAATGTTCAACTCTGTGAGTTGAATGCAAACATCACAAAGACGTTTCTGAGAATGCTTCTGTCTAGTTTTTATGTGAAGATATTCCCGTTTCCAACGAAAGCCTCAAAGCTATCCAAATATCAACTTGCACGTTCTAAAAAAAGAGAGTTTCAAAATCGCTGTATCAAAAGAAATATTCAACTCTGTGAGTTGAGTACACACATCTCAAAGAAGTTTCTGAGAATGCTTCTGTCTAGTTTTTATGTGAAGATATTTCCTTTTTCACCATAGGACTCAAAACGGTCAAAATGTCCAATTCCAGATAGTACAAAAAGAGTGTTTCAAATCTGCCCTATGAAAGAGAATGTTCAAATCTGTGAGTTGTAAGCAAACATCATAAAGGTGTTCATGAGAATGCTTCTGTGTAGTTTTTATGTGAAGATATTCCCATTTGCAACGAAATCCTCAAATCTATCCAAATATCAACTTGCAGATTCTACAAAAAGAGTGTTTCAAAACTGCTTTATCAAAAGAAAGGTTCAACTCTGTGAGTTGAGTACACACATCACAAAGTAGTTTCTGAGAATGCTTCTGTCTACTTTTTATGTGAAGATATTTCGTTTTTCACCATAGGCCTCAAAGCACTCAAAATGTCCACTTCCAGATACTACAAAAGGAGTATTTCAAACGTGCCCTATGAAAGAGAATGTTCAAATCTGTGACTTGAATGTAAACAAAACAAAGTTGTTTCTGTGAATGCTTCTGTCTACTTTTTATATGAAGATATTCCCGTTTGAAACGAAATACTCAAAGCTATCAAAATATCCACTTGCAGATTCTACAAAAAGAGTGTTTCAAAACTGCTCTATCAAAAGAAAGGTTCAAATTTGTTAGTTGAGCACAACCATCACAAACAAGTTTCTGAGAATGCTTCTGTCTAGTTTTTATGGGAAGAGATTTCCTTTTTCACCATAGGCCTCAAAGTGCTCCAAATGTCCACTTCCAGACACTACAAAAGGAGTATTTCAAACCTGCTCTATGAAAGGAAATGTTCAATTCTGTGACGTGAAAGCAAACATCACAAAGAAATTGCGGAGAATGCTTCTGTCTACTTTTTATATAAAGATATTCCCTTTTCCAACGAAATCCTGCAAGCTATCCAAATATCCACGTGCAGATTCTACAAAAAGAGTGTTTCAAAACTGCTCTATCAAAAGACAGGTTCAACTCTGTTAGTTGAGCACACACATCACAAACAAGATTCTGAGAATGCTTCTGTCTAGTTTTTATGGGAAGAGATTTCCTTTTTCACCATAGACCTCAAAGCGCTCCAAATGTCAACTTCCAGATACTACAAAGGGAGTGTTTCAAACGTGCTCTATGAAAGAGAATGTTGAACTCTGTGACTTGAATGCAAACATCACAAAAAGTTTCTCAGAATGCTTCTGTCTACTTTTTATATGAAGATATTCCCGTTTCCAATGAAATCCTCAAATCTATCCAAATATCAACTTGCAGATTCTACAAAAAGAGTGTTTCAAAACTGCTCTAACAAAAGAAAGGTTCAATTCTGTTAGTTGAGTACACACATCATGAACAAGTTTCTGAGAATGCTTCTGTCTAGTTTTTATGGGAACAGATTTCCTTTTTATATAATTAAGAATTAATTCACATTAATTATTGGGGAGAAATAATTATTAAGAATTAATGACTGAGAAAATGTTTTTATTTTTTATTTAGAAAATTATTTTGTGCATGAGCATTACCGCAAGTTTTGCAAGAAACATAAATTTAAAGAAACAATTATGTGCACAAGATGAATTTAATAACATTGATATTTTCCACGATTAGCATTTTCTTTGGTAAATCTTTAAATGCACAGCATCAAAAGATAATAAATGAATCTTAGAAATCTTGTAGGTAAGGGTAAATATTAGGATGCATCCAGTTACATTTACACACACATACATGCATACAGACTGATACACGTGTGTATATATACATAAGAATTTATTAATTGATTGTAACTAATATTTATAAGAGCCAGTTGGATTGATATATATTGTTGAACCTGAAAAATATTTATTATATACATGTTTAAAATACACACAGAAATAAATAGTAATTGCACTAGGCATTTGAAACTGTACTAAAATATAAGCTGTGAATATTTTGTGATCATTACAAATTCTTACACTGAATAAATATTTTTATTTTTACAATATTAATATGTTTGACACCTGTGTACATTTTTTACAATGTGTTATTTTATTTTTGTCATAGAGTCATGTCATGCATAATAACAAGATACATAACCTCTTACCACTGTGTTCTTATTGCCTGCAGTATTCAGTACAGTAATGTAGTACACAGGTTTGTAACCTGGGAGAGAGAGACTACACCATATAACTTAGACGTGGTAGGCTGTACAATCTAGGTGTTTGTAATATTCTCTGTGATGTTTGCAAAATGATGAAATTGCCTATGGATACATCTGTTAGAATGTATCCCTATCATTCAGTGACGTGTGACTGTACTAAAATGCTCAAGGTAAGTTTCAATGCCCTCCATAAAATTGTTGTACTGTGAAATACAAATCTCTCACCCATGGCCTGAATATGTTTGCAAACTAAGCAGATCATGGGAAGGAGAATGTGCTGGCATCGCTGGGATGATTTTCTCACACTACCTGAATAATATCTACAGACTTCGTGAATATGAGCCACTTGCATAGAGTTAAAGTAGGCATCTCTTTGCTGGGAAATTTATCAAATGGGAGTAAGAAGTGTTTTTAAAAGATACTTGTTTGTTTGTAGCTGGTAGGCCTACAGTGGCTCATGCAATTGTTGAGGTTGCTAAGATTTGGTGGAAGAAGGCAAAATGAAATGGCCACTTATATGGTATATGGTATATGGATCGCTTTTTTCTGTTGAGTTACAGACTCAGCTGGCTATTTCTCCCAATGTTAGTTATTTGGAGAAAAAAAAACATGATGGTAATTTTGGGGTAACAAATACAATATTTGATGAAAGCATATTTATTGAGGGTTAGACAAACTACAAGATACTTTAGGCTGCAAAGTCAACACGAGACTTCTGGCCCAAATTGTGCAGAGTTTGCGTCCAGCTGCAAAGTTCAAAGGAAGAGGCCATATAAGACGATTCTCACTTCTGACACCAACTGCCAGTTCAGGGGTTTCCCCTGAACACCCTCAGTTTCTAGAATTTACTAGAAAGACTCACAGAACTCATTGAATGTCATTGTACTCATGGTTTATAATAGAGAAAGGGTAGAAATTAGGACCAATTGAAGAGACATATCATATAAGGTGGAATCTAGGAGATTTTGAATGTTAAGATTCCATTGTCTTCAGGACATATTACCTGTCACTGTTGTACAGCAATAAACATGGAGTACTACCAACCTGGGGAGCTCACCTGATGCTAAAAAGACACTATTTAGAAAATGAAAAGACAAATGAAAGGATGAGATAAGATGACCTTCCACATTAAGGCACTGGAAAGAATAGCAAACTAAACCTAAAGCAAGCAGAAGGAAGAAAATAAAAATTAGAGAAATTAATAATTTATAATAATAATATTTGTTAGTGTTGAATAATTGATATTAATTCTTGACTAGCTTTTTTAAAAGAGAGAAATATTCACTTCCCAATTTATTCTGTGGGGCCAGTGTTACCTTGATACAAAAATTAGTCCAAATAGCATAGAAAAATAAAACTACTATAAGTATAAATGCAAAATTCCTTAAAAAATACTAAAAAGTCAGATTTAGCAACATATGAAAGAATTATACACTATGACAAAGTGAAATTTATACAAGTAATCCCAGGTTTGTTTAACAGCCCAAAATCCATTAAGGTAATACATCTTATCCATGGAATAAGAAACGAGAATTCCATGATCATCTCGATAGTTTCGGAAAAGACTTTTAACAAAATCCAAATGCTTTAATGATTAAAAATAAAAATAAAAACTCAATGAACCTGGAATAGAGAACTTTCTACACCAGATACATGGCACCTGTGAAAAGCCAACAGCAAGCATGCAACTTAATGGTAAAGGATGCTTTCCTGCTATGGTCAGAGATTAGAATAGGATATATACTTTGACCTCTTCTAGTCAACACTGTACTAAAGATTATATGCAGGGCAAATCGGCAACTATAAAAATAAGAGTCACCCATATTGAACAGGAAGAAATAAAACTTGATTTGAAAATAACATTCTTGTATATAGAAAATTTTAAGGAATCCACTGAACGATAGAACTAGTAAATTATTTCAGCAATATTACAGCATACAAGATAAATGTACAAAAATCAATTGCACACATCTACAATGAAAACCCCAAAATGAAATTAAGAAAACAGTTCAATTTAAAATAGCATCAAAAAAAGAAATAATAATTAATTTGGAAAATGTGATACAAGAGTTTACTCTGAAAATTAAAAATTATTGTTTAAAGAATATCTAAATAATTAGCAAACATCTTCCACCCATGAATTGGAAGATTTAATATTGTAGTACTTTACAATTTGAACTACAGTTTTGATGAAATCCCTGCAAATATCCCAACAGACTTCTGTCTAGAAATTGACAAGCTGATTCTAACATACACATGGAATTGTAAGGGACACCAAATAGCCAGAATAATCTTGAAAAAAGAAAGCATATTAGGATAATTCACACCCCCATGCTCCAAACCTTACTGTAAAGTATCAGTAATCAAGACAACACAATACTGATGAAGGAAAAATATATAGATTGATGGAAGAGAATTGAGAGTCCATATAGAAAACTATGTGTCTATAGTCAGTGGATTCTTACAGTGGTGTCATGTGCAATTCAATGAGGAAGAGACAGTCTTTGAATAAACTGGGTCAACAATGTACACGTAGATCCCCACTTGCAAAATAATAAATTCGAACCCTTACCCCAAAGCATACAATAATATTAACTCAAATGAATTAAAGACACACATGCAAGAGCTAGAATAAAGCATATGGGAAAATCTTCAGGATTTTGGATCTAGCAAAGAAATAGCTGTAACACCAAAAACATGAGCAACAAAATAAAAATTAGATATTTAAAATTTCTTAAAAATTAAAGACGTTGGTGTTTCAAAGGATAACCAAGCAAGTCAAAAGGCAGCTCTAAAATTGTGAGAAGATATTTGAAAAACACGTATCTATATATCTGTATATATATGAATCTTGAATATAGAAAAATTGTTTTAACTCAGTAACAAATATCCCAACTCAAAACTGATAAATGATAGGAATAGATGTGTTTCCCAAGAAGACACACGAACGGTCAATAATCCCATAAAAACATACCCAATAGCATCACTCATCAGGAAACTACAAATCAAAACCACAGTTAGATACTCTATGGCTAGAACTGGCCACTTTGGAAAATAATTTGATGGCTTCTAAATATGTGAAACATAGAATTGTCATATGACCCAGAAATTTATTCCTAGGTATACACCCAGATTATTGGAAAGAGGTGTTCAAACACAAATTGTACACAAATATTTTTAGCAGCAGTATTTAAAATAGCCAAAGGCTGAACACAACTCAAATGTCAATAAAAATATTATTGGATAAACAAATGTTTTATCCATGAAATTGAATGTTATACAGTTATAAAAAGAAATAAAGTACCAATACGTACATGAACCTTGATAGCATTATGCCAACTGAAAGAAGCCAGGCAGAAAAGGCCACCTATTGTATGATTCCATTTAGATGAAAACAGAATAGGAAAATCTATAGAGACAGAAAACAGATTTGTGGTTGCTTAGGATTGAGTAGGGGATGGGTGCATAGGAGGTTAACAGCTAGAGAAGGTGGGGTTTCTTTTTGAAGTGATGAAAATGCTCTAAAATTCAATGTGATGATGGCTCCACTTATCTGTGCATATACTAAAAGCCACTGACTTGTAGACATTAATGTGTGCACTCTACACTATGTAAATTATATCTCAATAAATCCTTTCAAAAATACACAGAAGAGTAAGGGGTTTTGGAATGTTGCAAATGGGAGGCAGTTTGAAATACTGAATAGGCCTCATCGAGAATGTGAAGTTTCAGTAAAGACTTGAGGAAGTTGAATGAGCTGATGAATGGATATATGGAGGGCTATCTTTCCAAGACAAGAAATTAACTAGAGTCTTTGTCATAAGGCAGCAGCATGTTGGCATGTCCAGAGGACAGTGAGGTGGCCAGGACCATTGGTAAGTTCAAGGGTGAAGATATAAAAGAGTTTCGGCGGTTAACATGCGGCAGATCGTGATGGGCTTGCAGACCATTGTAAGAATTGTTGTTTTTAGTTTACATGAAATGGGGAGACAAGTCATTATCCCATTATCAATATTTTAATAAATTGGGTCCATGAACCAAATCCAATGAGATTAAATCAATTAATAATAATATTCAAATTGGTATTAAAATTACAAGAATTATGTGCATATTTGAGAACAGGAGAGTCATGATTGTTTATCCGCAATAATAAACATTATTAATTTTAATTGTGATCAGCTAAAGGAAATTAATTGCAATACATCATGCTTTATAATGTGACTGTCAAAAGGAAACTATGATTGTAATCTTACACTACATCTATCAATGTCTTTGATTCATAAGACTATAGAGTAAGCCCCTAGTTTTCAAAGCCAACTTTTGAGGCAGTGACATCTTATGCAAGTTTGCTGCTTTCTGCCACAGTGATCCTTGGTCAGCTGTCACAAATTGTTTTACAAACGCCCCTAGGTCTAAAAATAGTTTGGATCACAATGAACACAGAATCACCTTCATCCCTTCAGAAATACCTATCAATTACTTCCAATACAGAATGAAAAATTGACAAAGGAAATATGTGGATTGTAAAAATGCCAGTTAGCTTGCATCTACATGAAAGAAAAATGCCATTTTTATTACATTAGATCATTGTTTCACATGAGTTTTGGCATGGCACAATGTTGAACCAAGGGCAAAGAGAGATAAATTAATGAAGTCTTAAGACATCAAGAATTTGAAAGAAAAGGCAGGTTATCTTTGAAGTTTAGTGACATAGCATTCATCTTCTGTTGTCACCTTTTCTGTCATTTCCTGTATGCCTGATGGACAGGTTTCACTCAAGTTCAGAGAACAGCATGCAAAATTAGCTACCAGTTAATCTTTATGAAGTGAGCTGCATTTCTAGCCAGACTGAGCTTACGTTTTAGCAGGAAGCATTTTTGGGAAATGTTTATGTTAGAGTTTGCCCTTCTTGACAAGGTAAGACATAAATGTCTACTTTAGAGACATGAATTAAGATGGGAAGATATTTGGGGGAATCATTTACTCAAACTCTAAATAATAAAGGTACACAAAGGGCAAATTATACTAGATTTCTTTCCCACTTGTTTTCTATGTCTCATGCAATTCACCTTGATTCCCTTCAGTTTCTGTTTAATGTAGAAAGTGGCATTTTCATTATTTTAAACTTCTAGCACAATGAAAGAATTTCTCTTTTTCATGAACAGAATCATAAATGAAAGGGAGGAAGAGTGTCCTATATCATATTTATTGTTCAACAAAACACTGCTCCACAGCTTAAATTCAGTTTAAAAAAGAGAATTTATTGAACATCTAACACATACATAAAAGGCAGTAAAGACAAATGAGAAGAGGGCAGGATATTGAAGTATACAGACTTCAATGCTGAGTTTTATATCTTAGGAAGTTACTCCACCTTACAGAGGCTCAATTTCCCCTGATCTAGGAAGGCGATGCTAATGGGTATTGCATAGGTGTAAGTTGAAAAATGTTGTATTTAAGAGAATCCCACAAGCTTGGTATAAGGCAGAAAATAAATAGATGTGACATGAATAAGTAGTTTATTACATTTGTATGCTACCTGCGGACTAGAGGAAGCAAGAAACACAGCCACTATGCTTGATTAGCATTATAGAGATGGTACAATGATGGTTGTCAGAAGGTGGGGGGAGGAAGAAATGGGGAAGTATTGTTTAATGGGTATAGAGTTTCAGTTTTACAAGATGAAACGAATTATGGAGAACATAACAGCTGCACAATGTTATGACTCTATTTAGTACCACTGAACTGTACACTTAAAATGGTCAAGAGTACATTTTATGTTATGTGCATTTTACCACAATAAAAAAAAATACCTTAGGAACATTTTCATGAAAAAGCCCACATAAAATTCATTTTAATGCACGTGTTTATGCATAGCTTTCTATTTTTCTCTTTTCTCTTTATATTCCAAATTCTAATCAGAGAAGGGAATCCCCTCTGTACCTCCAGGATATTCAGTAAAGACAACTGGAGGTTTATGCCCTAGTGACAGTGCTCATTTAGCTCCAAATTACAGATGGCTCTAGACTAACTCAACAAAGTTTAAAGAGAAGAATTAAAACAACAACAAATACTCATCCTGAAGTTACTGAATTCCCTGCCACAACATTGTTCAAAGGTAGCCAATGAAATGTAGATATTAAATAGCATAACATCAAAATACCCAAAAAAAACTCTGACATGCAAAGAAGCCGTAAGATATATATAATTAAGATATATATTAACAGGATAAAAATAAGTCATTTATAAATGACAGAAAACGGGAAAATTTCAAGGTCCTTAAATTAAATATATTTTATAAATACATATAGATAAATACGTATATATGTCAAGGTACTTAAATGAAAATTGAACATAGGAGAAAAATAGAAGTTATAAAATGAAAAATGTGACATGTATAGATGAAAAATAGATATTTGAAATAAAAATTCCATGAGATAGAACAAGTAATGGATTTTATCCTAACATCAGAAAATTTATAGAAAAAAATAGAAGCTTTACAAACTAAAGGACAAAGGGTAAACTAAAATAAGAAGGCCAGAAACTCGCTGATACGTCAGACGATATCCAGCAGTGTAACATACATGTAATCAATATCTCAAAAAGAATGGGTGGGGGAATTATAGGTGAATAAAGAATGGTACACTCATTCCTGAGGGCACCGAGGAGGGAGGATAGCTTTAGATTTCTTAGGGAGGGTATTATCCATTCATGAAGTTCCAACCCCATGTACAAACACCTCCCAGTAAGCCCCATCTGCGACATTGGGGATCAAATTTTAACATGAGATTGGAAGGGGCGAGTATTCAAACCATAGCAAGAGTTAAATTTCCTTTTTAAAAAAATCACTGATATGATTCCATTTTGCCATAGATAAAAGCTAGTATTTCAGCCTACCATCGAGTGTGCTTATAGCTCACCAAAATGGCACTCTGTCTCGGGAAAACAGATTTGCCTAGAGGTATCCTATTGCAGTCAAAGAAAGAGCAATGAGGGATAGAAAAGTTTAGTGATGGAGACACCAGCTCTGCATTTTGGCATTTTGCAACAAACAATGTAAAAACTTTACGGATTGGTTCTGCTAACTTACTACAGTTTACATTCCTCTCCGGTGGGAGAATTGTTGCGTTTTTTCTCAAGAGAGAAAAGCAATTCAGATATTCTGTAATCTCCACAGGAAGGATAAGAAGCAAAGCAGAAACTATTCTAGGCAGGAAGTCAATCCTTTCAACTGTCTGTGCTCCATAGAAACAATTGTCTGCGCTGGGAGTCATATGAGGTACAGACCACAGCCAGACCTCTGATCCTCTCATTAGTGATTTCAGGAGAAATTACAAGTCAACTGAGTAATTCACTGAGTAAAGTAAACATTTGGCACTGAAAGAGGTTAGAAGGATAACTATTTCTATCACCATATTCATGAAGCTGGAATATTTTCCATTACTTGTATCACATCTGAATGGAAGATGTTAAAAGGTCTCTCATCTTGTAAGATGGATATGACAGAACTTTCTCTGAGAAATGAAATTACTAACACACCTGCGAGGTGGATGGAAGAGAAAAAAAAGAATAATCAGCTTGAGTTCTTCTCCTTGATAAGACAACTCACTAAAACCTTAAAGAGAAAAATACAAGTTTAAAATAATTAACAAGAAGAAGACGACTCTAGCGTTTTTAAATTGCTGATAAGATTTTAATTTGCTCCAAGTTGAAAATAATTATATTGCTTGTGTTTTAAGGCACATAATGAGCACTTATATCACACATGATAGTTTCAGCAGTAAAATATTATCCGTTAACAGCTGGAACTCATAAAAGCATAGCACAATGTGAAGATGGAATTTGCTAAAATAAACCATCTGCTGAAAACTACTATTCTGCAAATTTAAAAATAAAGTTTGAATGTTATTTGTCCTATTTAAAAGGTCTGTGAAAAAAATGCACTATATGAAAAGTAGCTGCTACCTTAAATAATTATTTTAGACGGCTGGTTACAGTAATGCACAGTAAGGTGCTACATAGATATATTGCTAAATTTTCTGCATATACTATGTATTTGGCTTAAATTATTTGAAATTATATAGTTAAAATAACAAATGCATATTTAAATGTTTTGACACAAATTGCAAATATACCTTTAAAAAGTGTCTTACACTCTAAATATTATTTGTCACCTATATATTTGTCTTTTCTCTATAGGAAAGTTTAAATTTTTCCCTTGAAGCTTTAATTATTTGAGTCTATAAAACAAACTGATAATGTACAAATTAACAGGAAACAAAGGTTTACAGATATGTGCACAAGTATGCAATTGGAGTTTACATAATGTATATAAATATATCTATACAAATATTTGTATAATATAAATAGATATACAAATATATACTATATATATAAAAACTCCAGGAAAGGCAAGGTATTCAACACACCTATGCTGTCTTGAGGTTACAGAAAACACAGAGCTGTAGGTTGGTAAATCAGGCTTTGCGGAAGACAGGTGACGACAAGGAAGAAAGGGGAGCCTGGCAGCAGAGGTGGTCTTGTTACATGGATGAAACCTCAGAGGGAGCAGCCCTCCTCTTGGGAAGTATAGATAGGAAATGGTTTTTAAAAATGTAAATGTGCCAGGCTCAGTTAATCTTTCCTAAACCCAAACAAGGGAGTACCTCAGGGAAAGCCTGTCTATATGAATGCAGATTTTCTCTACAAATGCCAATCTTCCCAACAAACACAGCTTTTCAGCTATTCTTGTAGAAGAAGCTATCACCAGTCTTCCGAGTAGCCATCTTGAAATATGTCAAAAAGCTGGCCAGGTGCACGCCTGTAATCCCAGCACTTTGGGAGGCTGAAGTGGGTAGATCACCTGAAGGTAGGAGTTGGAGACCAGCCTGACCAACATGGTGAAACCCCGTCTCTACTAAATACCAAAAATTAGCCGAATGTGGTGGTGCATGCCTGTAATCTCAGCTACTTGGGAGGCTGAGCTAGGAGAATTACTTGACCCTGGGAGGCTGAGGTTGCAGTGAGCCAAGACTGTGCCATTGTACTCTAGCCTGGGCAATAAGAGCAAAATTCCATCTCAAAAAAAAATGTAGGGTAATATTTTGAGTATCTTTACCTCCATATGTACAATAAATATTATTGTGATTTTTAATCTTTTCTGTGGAGAAAACACAGGTGTGATTTCTAGTGTAGCTGAACATCGTTTATTTGACAATATTGCACTTGTATGTGGGTGTGTGCGTGTGTAGCTACTCTTTAATTTTGTTCTCACATAATGATTAGATATTAACAATTAATTCAGTAAAATGTATGTTTTGCAATATTTCTCCATGTTATCATGCTTTAAATTAGTTTAATCATGTCCCTATAATGTGTACATTTTAACCTTTGACTATAGGTCTCAATCTTACTTTGGTTCCTGTATTTGAATTTATGCTAATAAAGTCCTACAGCTAAAAAGATTACATAAACTTATCTACATTTTTACTAGTATTCTGGTGTCATTTTAAATTATGTAATGAAATCAAATTTTAATTTGGATTATTGTTATCTGAGTTAAGGATCTAAATTTTTAATTTTCTATAAATATTACATAATTATTTCTGAACCATATATTGACTAATCTGTCCTTTATATGAGGTGTATTATAAGAGCTTGGGATTGTTTCATTTGCAAAGATGAATGCTTGAGAAGTAGATATTTAATCACAACATTTCAACATCTACTGGATAACCTAGAATTGAAAAATAGCCTATAGGTTGAAAAACTCCTGTAGTGAAGAAAGAAAATAACTAATATACAGTGACAATATAAATATTATAAGTATTTATTTTTTATCACCCTGAAATTTGATAATACAAACATGTAATATCTACATATCATCCATATATCAGGTCCTAAAAAATCAATACATTCTGCAAAAATTTAGCATAACAGAAAATGCACTCTCTCTCCTTGATGGATTTAAGTTACAAATAAAAGTAAAAATAAGTAGATAAGTAGATGGAAGTAGATGTTTGAAAACAAAGAAAAATATTTGTTTTGGATAACATTAAATCTCAATTGACAATTCCAATATTTCCAGAACTTTGCCTGTCAACTGGTGGAGAGTTTTTCCCAGGAGACATTTGTCAATATCTAGGGTTATTGTGGGGATGTCAAGACTGGTGGAGGTGTGAAATTTAGAGGTCATACGAAACACCTAGCACTGCTAGGGCAGCCTTCCACAACAAAGAATCCTCTGGTCCTAAAGGTAAGTAGCAACAAGGTTGAGAAACCATAATCTAGACAGGAAACACTACGTAGCTATTCCAAGTGCTCAGGAAAACACATCAGTGCCCTCGAGGGGAAAAGTGTAAACATTTTAATTGCTGTACATGGTGACACAAATCCATGTTGTTAATCTAAGTGGAAGGGGCTGAAGCACAAAACGTAATTCAAAGAGTTTACTTGAGCCACAATGAGGACAGCTGCCTGGAAGAAACAGACCCAAGTATCCTTGGATATGAACTCCCTTTGGAGCTTTGCAAGAAGCAGTTTCTTAAAGGCAAAAAAGGGTCCAGAAGTGGGATGATGTAAAGAGGTTTGTCACAAATTCTCATTGGCTTATGGAAATAACATTTATTAGTGACTGGCTATACACTGTTACACTATTATTGGGTGTGGATTAGTGTCTGATGTGGCATTATTGGTTAATTTATAGCTACTGTGGCAACAGCAAGCAGCCTAGATGAACACACAGCTCAAAGAGGAGCAGGACAGAACTTCTGTCTCATTTGAGTATCTCTCTGGACCTGATTATTTAAAGGACTTGCATTTCTCTCATGAAAGTTATTTTCTTTTCTCAATGTCCATAAATGAGAATAAATAGACGTAAAATAGATCTTTTCGAGGATGAAGTAAATGGAATGAAAATCAAAACCCAAGCTGACCAGAAATCATAGAGGGAAGAAAAGGTTATAAATATATCGATTTTTCAAAGTGATTTTAAACTATTAGGAATCAGTTAAATGTTGGGGGATTTTGTCTGAGAATAGGCTAAAGGAGAATGTCCCTTTTGCCTTCTGAAGTTTCCCTGAAAATCACTAATAGGAGGCAGATAAATAGTAGAAAAGGCATACAGGTTTCTGCAATGTGTGTACACTGGGGCCCTTAGAACGAAGACCTAGACACATGATGCGTGCAGAAGCTTATCTACCACATGAAGTTTACAGAAAGAATGGGGTCTTGGATCACAGGGAAAAAAAAAATAGGTTATGTGTGAAAACGACCCTGGCTAGCAACAGTGGACTTGTTACATAGGTGGAACCTCACTGGGAGCAGTCCTCAGAGAGAATAGACAGAAAATGTTTCTTTCAGACCTTTGGAGACCTCAGATTCTCAGTTAAGCTTTCCTAGATCCAGACAAAGGGGCAGACCTCAGAGAAAGCCTGGCTGCATCAAGGCAGATTCTCTACCGATGCAAATCTCCCCAAGACAGCTTTGCAGCTAACTTTGCATTTACAGCCCTTCTCAATAGCCACTTTGACATATATCAAGGAAATATATTTAGGGGTAAAATATATTAGTTTCTTTCATACAGCTATGAAACATACAGGAATAATTTTTGTCAATGTCTACTACAAATCCAATATAGCAGTAATTATAAAACCCACCAGATATTGAAGAAAAAATATGTAGAGTACCTCAATTACAAATGTTGATACAAAAATGCCAAATAAAATAAAAATAATATCCAACAATATTGAAACAGTAAGACAAGAAATTGGCAAAAAAAATAAAACAAATATCCACCTTGGGTATGAAAGTGTGTTTCCAAATTTGGTAATCCAATAATATTAATAATCATATTGATTAGCCCAAATTAAAAATAAATAGGGGATTCTCAGTACATGCTAAAATATATTCGTTAAAAGGCAATATTCATGTCTTTAAAGATTTTAAATGCTATAAAGGGTCTGATATTCTATATGCAAACATGTGTATGTCCATTAGAAGAATAGAGACCTGATTTTCATGTTACTACATAGAGATAGAGAAGTGGATAGATTAATTTGCATATGCATAGAGAAAGCATAAAATAGAAATTGACTGTCATATTAAAGGAATTTTAATTCAACAATAAAATAATTCAAAGGTAAAATTTTAAATATTTTTAACAGGTACATTATTAATATTAGATACTATTTATAATAATTGTGAAAATATTCAGTGCTAAAATAAGATACAATGTCTAAACATCATTATTAAAAGTAGTATAAATATTTGCTTCTTTATACAAGGAAAATTCAAGCTCGACCTAAAATTATATGGGAAATAAAAGAAAAATTTTAAGGGAGCTCTTTAATAACATAAACATATATATATACACACACATATAACATGTATATATGTTATATGGGATAGATATAGATTTAACATGTTATATCTATATTTGTATCTATAACTACAGCTGTATGTATCTACATTTCTATATATTTACTCAGTGATATAAATATAGACTGGAATAAATATAAGGTGACATATGATTCTTGGATAAAAAGGATTTAGTATCATAAAGACAAATTCTTTCCAGATTCACTTATGAATTCACAACCATATACAGTTTCATTAGTATAATTTAACACTTTTAAATAAATTCCTAGATTCATTTAAAGGAATATACATGTATACAAACAGTCAAGAAAGAAGCAAGAGTGCACTAAACTAACTTCCTATTAAAATACATTTTTAAACTTAGTCACTAAAACTGAGCAGTACTGATTTGGAGTACTGGAATTTTGGTATATGGGATCTCAAAAGCACAGAGCTCAAAGGAGACCCCTGTATGCACGAGAGCTTAGGATGTGCTTTAGAAGGCATTACCAAACCACGGGCAAAGTTACTTCAGTGTCTTAGTCTTACTAGGTTTGAAAAGCCAGATAAAAGACTCAAGACCACCATATAAGAGCAAAACAGAAGGACAGGGAGAGAATTTGAAGATACTGAAACATTTTACAAAAAGTTGTATAAAACATCTTTTAAAGAAAATGTAAAGCTTAGGATATACATCAAAATCAGCAGAGCCACTAAATAAATAAATAAATAGGCATTGTAAAATAGCAAGAGAAAATTTAAGTGGATTTCTAAAAAATATTGGCACCTATGATTTTTAAAATATGTTAAGATATCCCGTATTTCACAGGGCAGCCTTTCACAACACAGATATGTTAGGACATAAAGGTCCTTCTGTTTTTAATTTACTAGTGTTTATAGGGTTACACATGTCTTCTACCCTTGTCTTTTGTCTGATGGTGCAAAAAATTCTCATAAGCATGTATTTCTGAACGCCTGATGGATTGACATATATAATATGCTGCTAGTATTAAAATATGAGACGGAAAACGCATCCAATCTTCTCACTGTTTACATAAATTCTAGGTTTCTCCTATTTACCTCAAGCACGTATGGAGCGAATTCTTCCCTTTTAATATTGCCATGATATTCACATTGAACATAAGTTGAACTCTCTCATATGGTAGATGGGTTCATATTCCCTTGACAATTTCCAGATCTAACCCTCACAGTTCCTCAGTGTGGCTGGCCCAGATATTGACCCTACACAGTTGCCTCCTCGTGGTGACTACCAGCTATGGAACCGTTGGATACAACCTACCTGACTCACCCCAAAGACCACACAGTGCACATGGACAACCCCCAGACGCCACAGTGACATGCTCTCTTGCTGCGGGAGTCAAGAAATGTGCCTGCTGGCACTCACTCCACCGACTAGTGCCCATGTAATACTTATTTGGGTAATGTTCTGGGCCCAATAAAGGCTGGAGTCACACAGAACCCTTTTCTCTCTCCCGCTCCCCACTCATCTTCCCCATTTTGTTCACCCTATGAGGTGTGCTACTCTATTAGTCCATTTTCACACTGCCGGTAAAGACATGCCCAAGACTGGGTAATTTCCAGAAGAAAGAGGTTTAATAGATGCACAGTTCCACATGGCTCTGTAGTCCTCACAATCATGATGCAAGCTGAAAGGCACGTCTCACATGGCAGCAGACAAGACAAGAGAGTTTGTGCAGGAAACTCCCCTTTATAAAACCATCAGATCTTGTGAGACTTATTCACTATCAGAAGAACAGCATGGGAAAGACCTGCCCCCATGATTCAATTACCTCCCACCTGTTCCCTCCCACAACATGTGGGAATTCAAGATGAGATTTGGCTGGGGACACAGCTAAACCCTCTTCTCAGCTACCCTCTCTTCTCTGGATCTGTGAGTAATAAACCTACTTCTGTGATTTCCCATGTTTGGTTCTGTGGCCTCCATGGGTCTGACCTGACCTACACTGGAACCTAACTCTCCTCCTGGCCAGGGTCTCTGAGAGTGGCTCTTGTCAGAAATACACAGGACACAGGTGAGGCAACAGTCACCAGGCATCTCCGAGTCTCAAAAGATGTTCTGTGAGAGGGAGGCCTGGTCGTGGCATGCACACCTGGCCACTGCTGGGGTAAGGAAGTGTCCTGTGAAAGGCACATGTTAAGCATCCACAACCCCCTGACCCGAACCCCAGAAAGGCAGGGCTGCAATTGACAGTCACTCTCCAGAGACAAACCTCAAGCCCTAACTGGAGGAAAATAAAACAATGTAAAAAGTTGAATTTATCTTACTATTGCAATGATCCAGTAAAGACATTCTATGCCTCTACACCACATATTTTCTTCGATTGTGGATTTATTTTAGATAGAATTTTAGGTCTGGCTTTCACTTTAGCCTGGTCCCTACCTCAAGCATAAGGTAAAGATTTTCCATGCGTTCTTTTCTGGTACTACTACCTGCCAGTGTGGGGTCATGTCCTAGTCTATCTTGAGGGAATCCCCCTGTTCATTATTGTCACAGTGAGACTGTTAAGTCTTGATTTCCCTGGACAACTTCACTGCATGACTTCTAATATGATTTTTTAATATACCCTTTACTGGACAATAAATTAAATCATTATCTGAGTAAGAGATATGGTCAGGAAGAGGCATTGCCTCATTCAGCTTTTCTCTTTGGTGAACTCGCATATGTTCTCCTCACCCGCCAGTCACCTCTAAACCGTATTGTTCCAAGACAACAAACAGAACTCGAGTGTGTATCTTTAACCACTGGATTTGTGTTTGCTCCATAAACTTCACACTTAATAGGGTTTCTGTTAGCATTTTCTCTATTTATTTTCCCATAAAATATCACAGGCCTTCTTCATATGGAATTATGGGTGATTTCCTTCAATCTGCATCATATCAAGTTGAGATTCATGTTGATGAAAAGTAAAACATACGTTGAAAATATCAGTAAGGATGCTTTCCCCTCCTTTTTAGCACCTGTGCTTGTGATACAAGCACATTTTAATACAATTGTAGTCTCATGCTTTGATAATTCCTATGATGAAAATAACATTTTTAGATAAAATATCTGAGTTTTATGAGGACTTTAGTATGTGATGTGATAGAATATCAGAAGACTATACTTTTTTCTAGTTGTCCGTGCAATTCTATCATTGTTTCATCTTTACTCCTACCAGAGTAAATTTCCAAAATAGATATGTTGTCATTCTTCCTGTTGTTATCAGTAAATAAGAGAAATGAAAGCCTAGATTATATAATTTATCTAGAACAAGAAAGTAGAATTGAATCTATATTCATTAATGAGACTAACCAGTCAATTACACAGATAGGCATTTTACATTTTGAAGATCATATGGACCCATTGTCAGAAATATTATTATTTATGTCTATATGGACATCACCTGTTCATATTTACATAGAAATCAATGAGAGCTGATTTTTATTTTTATTATATATATATTTTTGAGATAGGGTCTTCCTTTGTTGCCCAGGTTGGAGTTCAGTGGTGCAATCACTGCTCACTGCAGCCTCAGCCTCCCAAGCTGAAGCAATCCTTCCACTTTGGCCTCCCAAATAGCTAGGACAACAGGTGCACATCACCATGCCCACTTTTTTTTTTAACTTTTGATAGAGACTGGGTCTTGCTATGTCGCCCAGGTTGCTTTTGAATTCCTGGGCTCAAGGAATCTTCGCATTTCAGCCTCTTCAACTGCTGGTATTACAAGCATGAACCACCATATGGGCTGGAAGCTGATTTTTAAAATACTGAGATCATATAGAAGACAGTGCCTGAAAAATAGACAACACCAAGCTTTATGTTAAAAGGTGTGATGGTATCAATATTGTTGTGGCCATTGGGGAGGAAACCATTAGTAAAACAACTAAGTTAAAGCTCTTGCTTTAAACTTTGGCTTTAATTTAACAAATGTTCTATGGAGTGACAGTATGTATGTAACCATGCTATACCCATTCACAGATGCAGTAGAGGGAAGAATTTCTCAAACACAACTGTTCTAAGACTCAAACTGTACTGGGTTTGAAAAGAGAAAGTCCAGGAATTACCAAATATTTTAGATATCAGATACAAGAGAATCCCAGGTATGCGATGATAATCAGCAATGGTTGTTCACAAGATACATCAAATCAGTATTTGATTTAGCTTTTGAATTACAAGGACAAATGGATCAAGTCTAGACTCTTTAGTAGATAAATCTTATTAGGCTGAGATGTGTTTTCCCCTGTTTTTCCTCAAGGAGATTACAAATTTGCAAACCTCAGCTGCTCTCATTTTATGCTCTCACCAAGCCAAAAGCTGAAGTTCATCAGTCAATGTGTCTAAGTGTTCACTGGTTATATACCATTTTGTAGTGTCAGCTATCTTTCCAACTTCCTAAATCATCACCTTCATTTGATCTTGTTTCTTTCACTATCACTTCTTTATTGACCATATAAAGAATATAAGTAAGTTCTTATTTTGTTATTGTTCATTTTAGTCTAATTTCATCAAAAGATCACAATCTTTTAATTTCATTTTCATTTCAAAGATTAAATGAAACCTACATCGAAATGAGTGTAAGATTTGCATTTGCATTATTTTGCCATCAATTTTCTATCCTCCCTCATGCACATAGAGATCATTTCCATGTACATGATTTCAAACATCCAAGTGCAGTATTAAAAGCAGTTTTTAAATTATGGTTCTCATTTTCATGATACAATTACAATATAAACTTCCTCTTGCTGATGTAACCAATTACCATAAACTTCATATCTTACAATAAAGTGACCGTTAATCCTACAGTTCTGTAGTTCAGAAGCCTTAAATGAAACTCACAGGGCTAACATCAAGTTTTGGGCAGGGCTGCAGTCTTTCTGAGGGCTATGTGGCAGAATCTATTACTTGATTTTTTTCAGCATCCAGAGGCCACCTTTATTCTTTGGAACATGACCTCATTCTTATATCCCATTTTCCTTTTTTTTTTTTTTTTTGAGATGGAGTCTCCTTCTGTCACCCAGGCTGGAGTGCAGTGGCACGATCTCAGCTCACTGCAACCTCTGTCTCCCGGGTTCAAGTGATTCTTCTGCCTCAGCTTCCTGTGTAGCTTGGACTACAAACACTTGCCACCACGTCCAGTTAATTTTTTTGTATTTTTAGTAGGGATGGGGTTTCACCATGTTAGCCAGGATGGTCTCGATCTCCTGACCTCGTGATAAACCCACCCTAGCCTCCCAAAGAGCTGGGATTAGGCATGAGCCACCGCGCTGTGTCCTCATTCTTGTATCTTAAAAGTCAGTGATGTTGAGTAATTTCTCATGCCACCACCTCCAAGGTTGCCTTTCTTCTGCCTTCTTCTTTCACTTATAAGGAAGTTTGTCATTTCATTGATCCCAGCCATTTAAGAAAATCTCTCTATCATTTTTCTACAACCTTAATTTCACTTGAAATCTAATTTCACACTGCCGTGCAACCTAACATATTTGTATGTTAGACTCTGGGAATTAGGACATGAAAATTTTTGGGAGGCCATTCTTTGGCCTACAGCAGACAAAATCTATTGACCTGCAGATTAAAGCGTTCTTTATTTTTCTGTTTCCCTCTCTTAATTTTTTAAAAATAATATGAATTGCATTAAAGAAAAAGAAAGAAAAAAAACAAAGAACGAAAAAGAAGAAAGGAAAGAAGGAAGGAAGGAAATAAACAAAGAAAAGAAGGAGGAAATGAGGGAAGGAAGGGAGGGAGGGAGGAATGGAGAAAGGCAGGAAGGGAGAAAACAGAAAGCATGAACACAAGAAAGAAAGAAGGAAAGAAAGAAAGAGAGAAAGAGAGAAAGAAAGAAAGGAGGAAGGGAGGAAGGAAATGAGGAAGAGAGAATGGTAAAAGGGAGGAAGGCAAAGAAACAAAGAAAATAAACAGGTGAAGGAAGGAAGGAAAAAGAGGAAAGGAAGGGAGGGATGAAGGAAGTAATGGAGGGTGGGAGGAAGGAAGAAAAAAGGAAAGAAAGCAAGAACGTGAGAAAGAAAGAATATGAGAAAAGAAGGAAGAAAAGGGAGAGAGAAAGGAAGGGAGGGAGGAGGGAAGGAAGAATAAGAGGAAAGAAACAAAGAAGGAAATAAGGAAGGAAGGAGAAAAAAGAAAGAAAAGAAAGAAAGGAAAAGAAAAAAGAAAAGAAAGGGAAGAGGAAAAGAAGAAAGGAAGGAAGAAGGCAAGGGAAGGGAAGAGAAGAGAAAGGAAGATGGAAAGAAGGAAGGAAGAACGCAAATATTAGAAATTCTGGGTTTGTTAGAGAATATGCCATACTGTTTTTTTTTTCACTTGAAAGGAAAGAGTATCTGTCATTGAAGATTGGATGTCTTGTTGGTGATAGTGTTGTTCTTATCTTCTTCCACATATTTACTGAGTTTGTGCCTAGTCTTTCGATTACTAAGACAAAAGTGTTGAAGTCTGCAAATATAATTTTGGATTTTTCTAGTTCACCTTTGATTTCTTTCCTGTTTTACCTCATGTATTTGGAGGTTTTGTTGTTAGCTGCATACCATAATTAGTAGGATGTTTAAATCTTGAGATTTCATTATTCTATTATCTATTATCTCTCATCTCTGATAGTATTTCTTGTTCCGAACTATGTTGTGTCCAATATCAATGTAGTCCTTCCACAGCCTTATTTTAGTGTTTCCATGATATGGCTTTCTCCATATCTTGATGATAACCTATTTATATCTCTATATATTTGGAGCAAGATATAAAATTTAGACGATTTTTTAAAGATTTTTCAAGATGCAATACTTATTTCTTTTTGTTCTATTTGACATTCTCTGAGTTTCCTATATTTGAAGTTTGATTTTCTGTCACTTCTTTTAGAATATTTTTGGCAGTTATTTTGAAAAATATTTCTTTTGCTCCATTATTTTTCCCTCTTTTCTTTTTGGGATTTCAATCATAACTAGAGTAGGTAATTTCATCTCAGTCTTATGCAGGTACTTTTTCTCAGGGTCTCAGGAATGTAGACTTCTCACACTTCTGTTCTTTTCCTGGCTGTGTTGGTGAGCTCAGTGATATTCCTCCTTCACCTTCAAGAGCAGTTTTGTTTTGTTTTTCCTGTTTTCATAATCCCAGCATCAGGAGGATCCTAAGTGTGGCAGTTTTTGTTGCCTTCCCCTACATATTAAGTGGAATATATTGGTCTGTTTGGACTCTTATAACAAAATAACATAAACTGAGTGAGTAAAAAGCAACAGATATTTCTTTTTTCACACTTCTTGAGGCTGTAAGATCTCAGGTCAAGATGCTCACAAATTCAGTGTTGATGAGAGCCCATTTCATGGTTCACAGATGCTGCCTTCTTTCTATGTCCTCACATAGTGAAAGGCACACAAGAACTCCAATGAGCTTCTTTTATAAAGGCACTAATCCCATTCATAAGGGCTCGGACCCCAAGACCTGGTCACCTCCCAAGTTTTCTGCTCTCCCTGATCTATGTCATATAGAGACTCTCGTGGATTCCTTACCAATTGCTTGAGAGATTGCAGTGGGTTTGTGGGGAAAAAGATTTCGAGATGATGGATCTTTCCCAACTTCTGCAGCTGTCAGCAGTCTCCCAATCTGACCAGCCCCACTTTGTCTTTAGGAATTTATTGATTATTTCAGCTTTACTTGTCATAGTGGTGTCTATTTGCATCTGTCCTATGTAAGTGCATCTGTCCTTTTTCTCCTTGCAGGTGCAAGTACTCAGGAGTACACTGTTGTTACTAATTACTCAGTATTGGTTGGTACATTGTCAAAGATCAAAGAACATTTTTAAAGATAAAAAAAAATTCTTGGAGGTTGTGTAAGGAAGGGTTAATTCTGCAGACATGGCTTTCCAAAACCTTGTGCATTCCAAAGTTCTTCAGGACTAGCCCTTGACAAGCTTCTGGGAGATGATAACCTATGAGCCCTTGGTATATGTTGCCTGATGAGAGTCTTTGTATGCGTGACAACGTAGGTCATATCAAATAACTGATGCTAACAACGTGATTTCTTGTGAGTACCTGTTTCTGTATGCCTATGACTTTGTGTAATGCCATATTAATATGACCTCTCTTAGGGCATAGGGAGGTTGGGAACTAAGTTGCTAAGTTCAGTCACAGGACGCTCGATGCATATGTGGTGGAATCCTAATAAAAACCCTGGACTCAAGACTGACGGAGCTTCCCTAGTTGGCAACAAGTTCACACATGTTGTCTCACACCATTGTAAAGAAAATTAGTCAGTGTGAAGTCCCCACTATGAAAGGACACCTGTAAGCTCACATCTGGTTTGTCCTGGACTCTACTTTATGTGCTTTTATGCTTCTGATTATTTTAATCTGGCTTCTTTCACTGTTAGAAACTATAACCACAAAAAAAATCAGCTTTCTTGGGTGATGTGAATCATTAAACCAAAGGGGGACTTGGGGACCCCCAATAAAAAGTATATATATTCTTAAAAAGAAAAAGAAAACTGGCTATAGCAGATATTGCTGATGACTTGTCTTCTATGTCCTGGACTCAATGTGTTCACCTGAAATTCACCTGTTTCCAGCTAACTGAGAGCTCCCCACATCATGCCTGTCTTTCTGATTTTTGGGCCTGCCTGCAAGCTTCTTGAGGCTAACCAGTGCTTCTCAACCACACATAGGAAAAAAGAAGGAGTTAAGGGTGGAGAGTTAATGATTCTAAGGCAATCCTTAAGCAATAAGAGATGGGAATTCCAGCATCCCCATCTCTTTGTAAAGTTATTTTGACACAATCTCCATACCTCCATCATTACTGAGCACATAGCAGTAACTACTCATTCACACTGGCTTCGTGTTCTGTTTCATTTTCTCCACTTCTGTGCTTTCTCACTCAATTTCTGATTAAAGTATCTGACCCCAGATATTTGTTTCATAGTCTATTTTTGAGGGAATCCAGAGCCAAGACAATAACAATGGGAGCTTTGCAATGAGGGAGGGTGAGTATAATCATCAGAAGGTTACATACCTCACTGGGAACATGAAGGCCTGGAGAGCTTGCTGTTTCAGTGAGAGAAACATGTTGAATGTCAGTTGAATACATACATACATATATATATATATATATATATATATATATATATATATATATATATATATATGTGCAATAAGACGTGCCCTTTACTTATATCAAAGGAAAGTGCTCTTTACCTCTCTTTGTTGTTGTGTTTTTATCACTATTGCCTACACAAGCAGAATATCTTACCCAGGATTTAAAGCCCTCTCTGCAGGATTTTCAAGCTCATGTTTTTATCATAAGTCACTCTGCTTCCATGTGTTTTAAATCTAATCCTCATTCCTCTGCTTTTACACCAGAGAATTCATCACTGACTTATTTTTGACTGACCTCCTTATAGAGCTGTCAAGTACACAATTTCTGCTGTGACCTTGCTCTTAGAGTTCAGTCATATAGCCTCTCACTAGATATCATTTCCTCTTATCTTTCCTAATAATGAATTGTCAGTTAAAACTCAACATTTTTAAGATTGAGCTTACCATCTGCACACACACACACACACACCATTATTGGTGTATTCTCATAGCCTTGAAACACTAATGTCACGTTGATGTCTGCCTTTTCTTTCTCTGCTACCTCATTCCTCATCCTTAGATTATTCTAAAAGATTCAATTAGATCAAGTTGGCTAATTATATTTATAAGATCCTCTCTAACCTTCCCAACATTACATTTAACAAAATTTAAAAATTTCTGGCAGGAGACTGTTGAAATTCCCATGGATGACTATGGTTTTACTATTTTACCTTTCAGTTTTAATAGGTTTTATATTATGTATTTTAAAGTAATGCTATTGTGTGCGTACATATTTCATATTTACATGACTTCTTGGTACATTTTGCCCTTTGTCATTGTGAAATGTTATTCTTCATCCCCAGTGATATTTCCTGTTCTGATGTCTACTTTGCTCATCACAGTTTTCGGGGGTTTTGGTTTGTTTGTTTTTCTATTGTTTGGTTCAAGTAAGTTTCTTATAAATCTGTTCGATTCCATTTGATGATTCCATTTGATTCCATTTGAGGATTCCACTCGATTACATTCAATGATGATTCCATTCGAGTCCATTCAATGATTCCATTCGAGTCCATTCGATGATTCCATTCGATTCCATTCGATGATGATTCCATTAGAGTCCATTCGATGATTCAATTCGATTCCATTTGATTCCATTCGATGATGATTCCATTAGAGTCCATTGGATGATTCCATTCGAGTCCATTTGATGATTCCATCCTATTACATTCAATGATGACACAATTCGAGTCCCTTCGTTGATTCCATTCAATTCCATTCTATGATGACTGCATTCGGTTCCATTCGATGATGATTCCAACGGATTCCATTCGATTTCTCCATTCGATTCCATTCCTTGCTGATTCCATTCAATTCCATTAGATGATGACTCCACTAGATTCCATTCGATGATGATTTCATTAGATTCTATTCGATGATGATCCAATTCGATTCTATTCAATGATGATTCTATTCGATTCCGTTCAATAATTTCATTCGATTGCATTCGAAGATTCCATTCATTTCCATTCGATGGTGATTCCATTCATGTCCAATCGATTATTGTTTTGATTCCATTCGATGATGATTCCACTTGAGTCCATTCGATTCCATTCGATTCCATGCAATGATGATTCCATTGAGTCCATTCGATGATTCCATTTGATTCCATTAGATGATGACTTCATTCGGTTCCATTCGATGATGATTCTAACGGACTGCATTCGAAGACTCCATTCGATTCCATTTATTGATGATTCCATTCGATTCCATTTGATGATGATTCCTTTCTATTCCCTTTGATGATGATTCCATTCGATTACATTTGATGATGATTCCATTCGATTCCATTGAATGATGATTCCATTGGATTCCATTCGATGATTCCATTTGATTACATTTGATCATGATTCCTTTTGGGTCCCTTCAATGATTCCATTCTATTCCATTAGATGATGATTCCATTCGATTATTCCATTCAACTCCATTTGATGTTTTCTTTCAATTCCACTCAATGTTGTTTCCATTTGAGTCCATTCAATGATTCTATTCGAGTGCATTCCATGATTTTATTTGATTCCATTCGATGATGATTCCATTTGATTCCATTCGATGATTCCATTTGATTTCATTTGATGATAATTACATTAGATTCCATTCGATGACACCATTTGAGTCCATTCAATGATTCCATTTGATTCCATTCGATGATGAATCCATTCGAGTCCATTCAATGATGATTCCATTTGAATACATTCAATGATTCTGTTGGATTCTATTCTTTGTTTTATTTTGACTCGTTTTGATGATGATTCCATTCAGTTTCATTCGATTATCCCATTGTATTCTATTCGATGATGTTTCCATTCGATTCCATTTGAAGAAAATTCCATTCAATTCCATTGATGATGATTCCATTCGATTCTATTTGATGCCGCTTCTATTTGATTCCATTCAATGATGATTCCATTTGATTCCATTTGATGATTAAATTCGATTCCATTCGATGATGATTCCATTCGAGACCATTCGATGATTCCATTCAATTCCATTCAATAATGATTCCATTCGGGTCCATTCGATGATTCCATTCAAGCCCATTCGATGATTCCATCTGATTCCATTAAACGAATACATTCGATTCCATTCTATGATGATTCCATTCATTTCAATCTGATAATGGTTCCATTCGATTCCATTCAGTGATTCCATTCGATTCCATTTGATGATGATTCCAATCGATTCCATTCGATGATTTCATTCGAATGTATTCGATGATGAGTCCATCCATTTCAATTTCATGATAATTCCATTCGTTTCAATTCGATGGTGTTTCCATTCGATTCCATTCGATGTTGATTCCATTAGTTTCCATTGGATGATGATTCCATTCGAGTCCATTTGATGATGATCACATTCGATTTCATTCCATAATTCTATTCGATTCCATTCGATGATGATTCCATCTGATACCATTTGATGATTCCATTCAATTCCATTCGATGATGATTCCATTCGTTTCCATCCACTGATGATTCCATTCGATTCCATTCGATGATTATTCCATTTGAGTCCATTCGATGATTCCATTTGATTCCATTCAATGTCGATTGCACTCTAGTCCATGGATTATTCCATTCCATTCCATTTGATGATTACATTCAAGTCCATTCAATGATTCTCTTCCATTCCATTCGAAAATTCCATTTGATTCGTTTGATGTTGATTCCATTCGAGTCCATTTGATGAAAATTCCATTCAATTCTATGTGATGATTCCATTCGATTCCATTTGAAGATGATTCCATTCGATACCATTAAATGATTCCATTCAATTCATTCGATAATGATTCCATTCAATTCCTTTTGATGATTCCATTCAATTCCATTCGATCATGATTCCATTCAAGTCCATTCAAATATTAGATTTGATTCCATTCGATGATTCCATTCCATTCCATTTCATGATGATTCTGTTCAATTCCATTTGATGATGTTTCCATTCGATGATGATTCCATTTGATTTCATTCAATGATTCCATTTGTTTCCATTCGGAGATAATTCTATTCTATTCCATTTGATGATTCCATTCAATTCCATTCGAAGAGGATTCTATACGATTCCATTTGATGATGACTCCATTCGATTCCATTCCATAGTGATTCAGTTCATGTCTATTCGATGTTTCCTTTCTATTCCATTCGACAATAATTCCATTTGAGTCTGTTAGATCATTCCATTCAATTCCATTCAATGATGATTCCATTCAATGATTCCTTTCTATTTCATTCGATGATGATTCCATTCGAGTCCATTCGATGATTCCATTCAATTCCATTTGACGATGATTCCATTCGAGTCCATTTGATAATTCAATGCGATTTCATTCAATGAAAATTACATTCGATTCTATTCGATGATCCCATTTGATTCCATTTGATGATGACTCCATTCGAGTCCATTCGATGATTCCATTCATTTCTATTTGAAGAGGATTCCATTGGATTCCATTCCATGATTCCATTCGATTCCATTCGATGACCATTCCATTCGAGTCCATTCAATGATTCCATTTGATTTCATTCGATGATGATTCCATATGAGTCCATTCGATGATTCCATTGGAATCCATTTGATGATTGTTTCAATTATATTCGATGATGATTCCATTCAAGTCCATTCGTTGTTTCCATTCGATTCCATTCGATGATTCGATGATGATTCCATTCGGGTCCATTTGATTATTCCATTCGATTCCATTCGATGATGATTCCATTCGAGTCAATTCTATGATCCCATTTGATTCCATTTTATGATGAATCCCTTTCAGGTACAATAGATGATTCCATTCGATGATGTTTTTATTGCAGTCCATGAGATGATTCCATTCGATTCCATTTGATTATGATTCTATTCGAGTCCATTCCGTGATTCCATTCGATTCCATTTGATGATGATTCCATTCGATTCCATTCGATGATTCCATTCGATGCCATTCGTTGATGATTTCATTCGAGTCCATTCGATGATTCTATTCGAATCCATTTGATGATTGCTTTTGATTATATTCAATGATGATTCCACTCGAGTCCATTCGATGATTCCATTTGATTCCTTTCGATGAAGATTACATTCGAGTCCATTTGATGATTCCATTTGATTCCATTCTCTGATGATTACCTTCGAGTCCATTCAATAATTCCACTCGATTCCATACAATGATGATTCCGTTCAATTCCATTCGATGATTCCATTCTATTCCATTCAATGATGATTCCATTCAGGTCCATTAGATGATTCCATTCGATTCCATTCGATGATGATTCCATTCGAGTCCATTCGATGATCCCATTTGATTCCATTTTATGATGATTCTATTCGGGTTCAATAGATGATTCCATTTGATGATGTTTCTATTGCAGTCCATTAGATGATTCCATTCAATTCCATTTGATTATGATTCTATTCGAGTCCATTCCGTGATTCCATTCGATTCAATTTGATGATGATTCCATTCGATTCCATTCGATGATTTTATTTGATTCCATTCGATGATGATTTCATTCGAGTCCATTCGATAATTCCATTCTTTGATTCCATTCGATTCCATTCAATGATGATTTCATTCGAGTCCATTCGATGATTCCATTTGATTCCATTCAATGATGATTCCATTCAATTCCATTCGATGATTCTATTCGAATCCATTTGATGTTTGCTTTTGATTACATTTAATGATGATTCCACTCGAGTACATTCGATGATTCCATTTGATTCCATTCGATGATGATTCCTTTTGAGTCCATTTGATGATTCCATTTGATTCCATTCTCTGATGATTACGTTCAAGTCCTTTCGATGATTCCATTCAATTCCATACAATGATGATTCCATTCAATTCCATTCGATGATTCCATTCTATTCCATTCAATGATGATTCCATTTGAGTACATTACATGGTTCCATTCGATTCCATTTGATGATGATTCTATTCTTCCCCATTAGATGATTCCACATGATTCCATTCGATGATGATTCTATTTGAGTCCATTCGATGATTCCATTCGATTCCATTCGATGATGACTCCATCCCATTCCATTCATTGGTGATTCTATTCAATTCCATTCATTGATTCCATTCCATTCCATTCGACAATGATTCCATTCGATTCCATTCAATGATGATTCTATTCTTCCCCATTAGATGATTCCACACGATTCCAGTCGATGATGATTCTATTCGAGTCCATTCGATAACTCCATTCGATTCCATTCAGTGATGACTCCATTCCATTCCATTCATCGGTGATTCCATTCAATTCCATTCATTGATTCCATTACATTCCATTCGACAATGATTCCATTCGATTCCATTCGATGATTACACTTGATTGAACTTGACGATGACTCCATTCGATTCCATTCAATGATTCCATTTGATTCTATTCAATGATAATTCCATTCGATTCCATTCGATGATGATTGCATTCAATTACATTCGAAGATTCCATTCGATTCCATTTGATGATGATTCCATTCAATTCCATTTGATGATTCCATTTGATTACATACGAGGATTCCACTCTATTCCGTTCGATGATCATTCCATTCGAGTCCATTCAATGATTCCATTCCAGTCCATTTGATGATTCCATTAGCTTCCATTCGATGATGTTTCCATTTGATTCCATTTGATGATTCCATTCGATTCCATTCGATGATTCCATTCAAGTCCATTCGATGATCCCATTGGATACCATTCAATGATAATTCCACTGGAGTCCATTTGATGATGATTCCATTCGATTCCATTGCATTATTCCGTTCGATTCCATTCGATGATTCCCTTAGATTCCTTTCAATGATGATTCCATTCGATTCCATTCGATGATGATTCCGTTTGATTCCATTCGATGATGATTCTATTCGATTCCATTCGATGATGATTCCTTTCGATTCCATTCAATGATGATTCCATTCAATTCCATTCAATGATTCCACTCGATTGCATTCAATGATGATTCCATTCGTGTCCATTCGATGACTCCATTCGATTTTATTCGATGATGATTCCATTCGGGTTCTTTGAATGATTCCATTCAAGTCCATTTGATGATTCCTTTCAATTCCATTCAATGATGATTCCATTCGACTCCATTCGACGATGATTCCATGCGAATCCATTCGATTATGACTCCTTTCGGTTCCATTTGATGATGATTCCATTTGGTTCCGTTCGATGATGATTCCTTTGGATTCCATTCGATGATGATTCAATTCGACTCCATTTGATGTTGATTCTTTTGGATTCCATTCGATGATGATTCCATTTGATTACATTCAATGATGATTCAATTCGATTCTATAAGATGATGATTCCATTCGAGTCCCTTCAATGATTCCATTCGAGACCGTTCAATGATTCCATTCAATGATTCCATTCGATTCCTTTCGATTATTATTCCATTCGAGTCCATTCGGTGACTCCTTTTGATCCCAATTGAAGATGATTCCATTCGATTACATTCGATGATACCATTTGATACCATTCATTGTTGATTTCATTTGAGTGCATTCGATGACACCGTTCGATTCCATTCGATTCCATTCGATGATTCCATTCAATTCCATTCTATGATGATTCCATTCGAGTCCAATTGATGATTCCTTTGGACGTCATTTGATGATGATTCCATTCCAATATTCCATTCAATTCTATTCGATGATGATTCCATTTGATTTCATTCGATGCTGATTCCATTCAATTCCATTCAATGATTCCATTTGATTCCATTCGATGATGATTCCGTTGCATTCCATTTGATGATTCCATTAGATTCCATTTGATGATTCCATTTGATTCCATTCGATGATTCCATTTGATTCAATTTGATAATGGTTCCATTAAAGTCATTTGATGATTCCATTTGATTCCAGTCGATGATGATTCTGATCAATTCCATTTGATGATTCCATTTGATTCCATTTGATGATGATTCCATTCGAGTCCATTTGATGTTCCCATTCAAGCCCATTTGATAATTCCATTTGAATCCAATCGATGATTCCATTCGAGTCCATTCGATCATTCCATTAGAGTCCATTCGATTGTGAATCCACTCGGGTCCATTCGGTGATTCCATTCTAGTCCATTCGATAATTCCATTTGAGTCGATTCGATGATTGCTTTTGATTAAATTTGATTATATTCAATTTGAGTTAATTTGTTGATGCCATTCGATTCTACTCTATGATGATTCCATTCGTGTCCATTCGGTGATTCCATTCAATTTCATTCAATGATGATTCTTTTGGAGTCCATTAGTTGATTCCATTCGATTCCATTTGATGATGATTCCATTCGAGTCCATTGAGTGATTCCATTCGATTCTATTTGATGATGATTCCATTCAATTCCATTTGATGATGGTTCTATTTGTGCCCATTAGGTGATTTCACACGATTCCATTCTATGATGACTCCATTCGATTCTATTCGATGATGACTCCCTTCAATTCCATGCACTGGTGATTCCATTCAAATCCATTCATTGATTACATTCCATTCCATTCGACAATGATTCCATTCAATTCAATTCGATGATTCCACTCAATTCCACTTGACGATGATTCCATTCGATTCCATTCGATGATTCCATTTGATTCCATTAGATGATTATTGCCTTTGATTCCATTCGATGATTCAATTCGATTCCATTCGATGATTCCACTCAATTCCACTTGATAATGATTCCATTCGATTCCATTCAATGATTCCATTTGATTCCATTCGATGATTATTGCCTTTGATTCCATTCGATGATTCCATTCAATTCCATTCGATTATGAGCCATTCAGTTCAATTCCATCATGATTCCATTTGATTCAATTTGATGATATTTCCATTCGATTCCATTCGATGATGATTCCATTAGATTGCATTCGATGATGATTCCATTTGAGTCTATTTGTCGATGATTCCATTTGAGTCCGTTCATTGATGTTTACTTTGGATTTCATATGATGCTTCTATTTGACTCCATTCGATGATGATTCCATCTCATTCCATTCGATGATTCCATTTGATTCCATTCAGTGTTGATTCCATCGGATGATGATTTCATTTGATTCCATTCGATGATGACTCCATTAGAGTCCATTCGCTGATTCCCTTCGTGTCCAATCGATGATTCCATTTGATTCTATTTGATGATAATTCCATTAGAGTCCATTCAATGAATCCATTCGATTCCATTTGATGATGACTCCATTTGAGTCAGTTAGATGATTCCATATGATTCCATTCGATGATCATTCCATTTGAGTACATTCAATGATTCCATTTGATTCCATTCGATGATGATTCCATTCGATTCCATTCAATGATGATTGCATTTGGGTTCATTCAATGATTCCCTTTGATTCCATTCGATGATGATTCCATTCGAGTCCATTCGATGATTATGTTCGATTCCATTCGATGAAGATTCCATTCGAGTCCATTCGGTGATTCCTTGTGATTCCATTTGATGCTGATTCCATCCGAGCCATTTCATGATTCTATTTGAATCCATTTGATGATTGCTTTTGATTATATTCAATGATGATTTCATTCGAGTCCATTCAATAATTCCATTTGATTCAATTCGATGATGATTCCCTTCGGGTCCATTAGACAATTACATTTGATTACACTTGATGATGATTCCATTCGAGTCCATTCAATGATTCCACTCGATTCCATTCCCCGATGATTACTTTTGAGTCCATTCGATGATTCCATTCGATTCCATAGGATGATGACTCCATTCAATTCCATTCGATGATTCAATTCTGTTCCATGAGATGATGAATCCATTCGAGAACATTAGATGATTCCATTCAATTCCATTCAATGATGATGCTATTCGTGTCCTTTAGATGATTCCATTGATTACATTCGATGATGATTTCATTCTATTCAATCCAATGATGATTCCATTTGATTCCATTCAATGTTGATTCCATTTTTTTTTCCATTCAGTGATGATTCCTTTCAGGTCCGTTAGGTGATTCCATTTGATTCCATTCGATGATGATTCCATTATATTCCCTTCAATGTTGAATCCATTCGAGTCCATTAGATGATTCCATTCGATTCCATTCTCTGATGATTACATTCAAGTCCATTCGATGATTGCACTCGATTCCATACGATGAAGATTCCATTCGATTCCATTTGATGATTCCATTCTATTCCATTAGGTGATGATTCCATTCGAGTACATTAGATGATTCCATTGGATTCAATTCGATGGTGATTCCATTCGTGTCCATTCGATGATTCCATTCTACTCCATTCAATGATTCCATTCACGTCCATTCAATGATTCTATTTGAGTCCATTCAATAATTGCTTTCAATTCCATTCAATGATTATTCCATTCGATACTGTTCTATGATTCCATTCGATTCCATTCGATGTTGATTCCATTTGATTCCATTCAATGGTTCTATTTGATTCCATTCAATGATGATTCCATTCGATTCCATGTGATGATTCCATTTGATTACATTTTATGATGATTACATTCTATCCCATTTGATGATTCCATTCGATTCCATTCGATGATGATTCCATTCGAGTCCATTTGGTGATTCCTTTCTGTTCTATTTGTTGATGATTCCATCCGAGTCCATTCAATGGTGATTCCAGTCGATTCCACTCAATGAGTCCATACGATTCCATTCGATGTTGATTACATTCGATTCCTTTGGATGATTCCATTCGAATCCTTTCATAGATGAAACCATTCAATTCCATCCGATAATACCATTTCTTTCCATTCGATGGTTCCAAAGGATTCCATTTGATGATGATTCCATTCGAGACCATTCGATGATCCCATTCAATTCTATCAATGATGATTCCATTCGAATGCATTCGATGATTCCTATCGATTCCACTCCATGATGACTCTATTCAAGTCCATCCAATTACTTTATTCGATTCCATTCTATAATGATTCCGTTCGAGTCCAATTTATGATTTCATTCGAGTCCTTTTGATGATTCCATTCGATTCCATTCGATGATGATTAAATTCGAGTCCATTCGATGCTTCCATTCGATTCCTTTTGATGATTCCATTAGAGTCCAATTGATGATTCTATTCAATTCCATTTGATGATGATTCTGTATGATTCCATTCCATGATGATTCCATGTG